>NC_000006.12:159919274-160070790 GCF_000001405.40 Homo sapiens | reverse complement strand
GCTGGAGAGCATGGGGCGAGCCACCCTGACACCCAGCGAGCTGGTCTTGCCCGAGTTAATGCCCAACTCAGCCACCGAGCTTGTCATGCACGCTAGCACTGGGGCTCACCACAATCTCACACACAGAAAAACCTGTATGCAGTCGACACCTGCTTACGTGCATGCCAAACAAGTAAGGGAAGAACTGATCACAGGCACTCATGCTCACTGACTGTGCATCTCCCGTGTGTCAGAAATGACACCTGGCACTTCCTACCTCTTCTCTCGAAACCCTGCAATGGGCAGGACAAGTATGCCTCATGTTATGAACGGCTGAGCAGGGCAGACTACCTGAGTAATTAACCAAGTTATGTGGCTGGGAAGTGGCAGCGCTACCTGTGACCCGGGCCCAGCCAACCTTCTCGTGCTTCCCAAGCTGCCGCCGTGAAGACAAAAGGGCATGTAGTCAAACAACAATCTCCTCCACAGCCTTTAGGGGTCTGAGTCAAACTCTGAAGAGAACCAATTCTGAGTCGGGAACTGCCAGGCAAGCTTCTAAGGAGCCAGACAGCACGAGGGTTCCCCAGATTGCAGGCCGCGGCGACGCTGTTCCCCCAACCTCTGGTAAGGGCGCATCATCCCAGGCTCTAGAACTCGCATCCCAAGGCAGATGAGGACGTGCGGCTCACCGCCCTGCACATGGGCTCAATTCCCAAAGCTGCAACAGCAGAAGGTGCAGGAACAGTCCCTTACCACTTGGCTCTCGCTGCAGGTGAATCGGATGGTGGTTGACTTTTTCCGAATCCCATCTGGACATAAGTCGCCATCAACGTATTTCAGGACAATTATGCCATCTCTCCACTGAGGTCCGTCCCTTACCCTGCCGAGGTTCACGGGCTTGGAGCCACCCAGCAGACACGCGGCTGCTTCTGGAGGGCACGGCTCTGCAGCACCAGACACAAGAAAGAGTTGCCTTTAGTGACTCCCCAGGCTAGAACAGAACTTCATCAGGCAATAAATGTCACACACGCTGCAGAACTTCATACGCTTTCTAAGAGTCACTTCAAAATACCTGCTATTTCTTTCACATAAGTCAGATGACAATGACATCACGTTAGTTCTCACTCACTTACATGCTGTTTTGTCACAGATGGACTGGGGCAGGCGGGCGTGAGTGTAGAGGAATAGCTAGGCTGTAGCAGTCGAAATTCTTTCTGAACCCCATATAGGATGAAGGTTATATTCCCAAATTAAGACAGAGGAACATTTTAAATGGCCTACGTCCATGCACCTTCTTTATTCAAGAAGCTACCAAGAATTCTGCCTGTTTCCCAGTCCCTAAAATGCCTGTGCCATGTGCCCTGGGTGAAGAACTAGTCCCATGCCACAGGGGTACAGCCACTGTCGAAGTCTGCACAGCACAACGCAGCAAGGGGAAGTGGAACCACAGCCTCAAACCACACAGAGGATGGAACCACCTTCTGCAGCTAAAAATAACCACACCGCCTTTGAGGTGAGCCACCCAAGATGCAGGTGGGGCTGTATGAAACTCCACGAACATGGGATGAGTTTCATCTTCAGGGTTCCGAGGGGCCATGAGTGGTACCAAGATCCCTGGAGGTGCCCTTGGTTTCCCATGTACAGCTGACATCCAGTCTCAGCCAACCACCGCAGGTTTGAGTGAGCTGTCCCTGCATCACAAAAGGACCGACCATACAACTCTCAACATACGCAGGCACACACCAAGACCTCCACGTCACACCCCCCATCTTCTACCTGCTAAGAAGGATTCCTCACCATGGCTATTATTTCTATCTATTATATCTTCATCTCCTCATGTTCAGAAAGGGTTATCATGTTCCCAGCAGTCCTCAGCACTGATTTACCCTGGGCCATACTAGGGATCAACTGTTAACACCCTTAAATCATTCTTCGTCCTGCTGTTTCTCGGCCGAACCACGTCCATGCTGCAGAGAGTAAAGCGCCTCCAAAGAATCCCCATCCTACTTGATCTTCCCTGATAAACTCATGACAAGCCACCACCCCATGAAGAGGCCCTCTCTCACCAGTGCCAGCCTTCAATACACTCACTGCAAACACCATCCCACGAGGAGGCCCTCTCTCACCAGTGCCAGCTTTCAATACATTCATTGCAACCACCACCCCATGAGGAGGTCCTCTCTCACCAGTGCCAGCCTTCGATACACTCACTACAACCACCACCCCACGAGGAGGACCTCTCTCACCAGTGCTGGCCTGTGATACACTCACAGCAAACACCACCCCACGAGGAGGCCCTCTCTCACCAGTGCCAGCCTGTGATACACTCACTACAACCACCACCCCACGAGGAGGCCCCCTCTCACCAGTGCTGGCCTGTGATACACTCACTGCAAACACCACCCCACGAGGAGGCCCTCTCTCACCAGTGCCAGCCTGCGGGGCCAGAGACTTGCAGACATTGATGAGGTAGTGCTCCGGGTCCCCCGTCCCAGTGATGGCTTCCCAGTTGTCACTGTACCTTGACAGGGACGAGAGGTCGAAGGAGTTGCCAGCCCCATCTCTGAAAAGAAGAAAACCCGCAGTTAGTTAGGCTTGGTCGTATTCTCTTTAAACATTGGGCACTCTGTCTAGAAACGTTCAAGTATTCAGGCATAGTCTAAGCCTGACAGAACTTTAGACTCGACTTCTCTCTGTCTCTGTCACACACACACACACACACACACACACACACACACACACACACCCCCCATCAGAATCAGCAACAACATAACTTCCCTGAACATAATAGTTCAGGAAACTATTAGGCTCACTTAAAAAAAAATTTAAATTTTAACAGAAAAACTCAAGTCTGCAAAGTGCGTGCCGTCTGTGCTCAGGCCACTGAGAAGTGGAACTTGCTGGTGACAAAGGTAAGCAGCCAAGATGCTAGGAGCACACACAGCAGGGGCCATGCCCGGGGCAGCCGCACGCCACCTGTTGTTTAAAACCAAGGCCGCCAGCAGTTACTGAAATTCTGAAATTAAAATGGGCTTGCTGACCTTTCTGCACAGGCTAAAGGTTCACTAACTACACAAATCCCAAATACAGACAGTAACTGGGAACCAACCCCATGCCAGGAGCAATATTAACAGTGAGTGAGACACACACTCTGCCACCACGGAGCAGGAACGGGAGCAGCTACAGATGCCACCTCAGCGGCAGCTCTTAGCGCTTCAGAGGGGAATAAAAACTGGTCATTCATTCAAAAGCTGTGTGCTAAACTGGGGGTACTGTATTAAACAAAACAGTATTAAACATCATCAATCTTACAAAGTTTACCAAAATTACCTGTGGAAGAAAATGACCGTGAACAAGATAAGACTTTTAAAAATACATACTGTATTTGATGGAAGTAAGAGCTGAAGGAAAAAAGGCAGATAAGGGGGATATGAAGTTCGGGGGGCAGAGGCAGCTGTTGAAATTTTAGACAGTGGAGCCAGAGAAGGCGTGACCGAGAAGGGGACCTGTGAATAGACTCTGAGAGAAATGGAATCACTGACCATCCTGGCACCCAGTAAAGCGCATCCCAGGCAGAGAACAGCATGAGCAAAGGGCCCGAGGCACATAAGCCCGACATGACCCGAGAAAGACAGAAACCCCGTGTGGCTGGAACAGAGTGAAAGTGAGGTTATTAGAGACAACACGGGGGTCATGTCCATCAGAGGAAGAACTTCAGCCTGTAGGTCCCAATGAGATGGGCGCTCACTGCATTGAAGGTTTCAGCAAGAGCGACATGGTGGGACTTATATCTCAAGAGGATCATTCTAATTACTGTGTGGGACTAACCAAACGTGTGACAAGGGACATGGCAAGGAGACCTCGGAGTGGCAGCTGCAGTACTGCACGCACGAGAGGAGGAGTGCCCAAACCAGGGGCAGGTGGCAGGAAGGGAAAGCTGCCTGAAGGTGATGGGACAAGAACAGAGCTTAGTGAATATCACCAAATGCTCTAAAAGTAGTCAACAGAAGAAACAGAAATAGAACTAACAAAGCCAAGGCAGAGGAAAGAGGAGAGGAGAACAGCACAGGTGAGGACAGCTTTCATCTTTTAAAAGAGAGTCAACAGACACCATTAGAAGCTGACAAACAGAGGTTTAGAGTTATAGAAGGTTCCAAAAAGAACCACAAGAAGAAACAGTAAAAAGTGGAGTGAAGCTAGGGGTTGGGGAGGGAGAGGTGAGGGTGGGTAATTTCATCTATTAATATTTTTGGACTCTCAATTACAATAGACATATATTAACTTTTATTATGAGATTATAAAATTCTCCTCTGATTTAATTCTACTTTTAAAAACTTAGCATAAAAATATCTTTAGGAAGGCCGGGCGCAGTGGCTCACACCTATAATCCCAGCACTTTGGGAGGCCAAGGCAGACGGAGGATGACCTGCAGTCAGCAGTTCAAGACCAGCCTGGCCAACATGGTGAAACCCTGTCTCTACTAAAAATACAAAAAATAGGCTGGCTCAGTGGCTCACACTTGTAATCCCAGCACTTTGGGAGGCCAAGGCGGGCGAATCACGAGGTCAAGAGTTCGAGACCAGCCTGGCCAACATAGTGGAACCCCATCTCTACTAAAAATACAAAAAAATTCGCCAGGTGTGGTGGCGGGCGCCTGTAATCCCAGCTACTCGGGAGGCTGAGGCAGGAGAGTCACTTGAACCCGGGAGGCGGAGGTTGCAGTGAGTCGAGATCACGCCACTGCACTCCAGCCTGGGCGACAGTGCAAGACTCTGTCTCATTAAAAAAAAAAAAAAAAACACCACAAAAATTAGCCAGGCATGGTGGTGTCTGTAATCCCAGCTACTAGGGATGCTGAGACAGGAGAATTGCTTGAACCAGGGAGGAGGAGGTTGCAGTGAGACAAGATCACGCCACTGCACTTCAGCCTGGGTGACAGAGCGAGATTCCATCTCAAAAAAAATACATATATATATATATATATATATATATATATACACACACACACACACACACACACACACACACATACACATATCTCTAGGAAAAATGCTTTATGTGCAAAGAAAATCAAAATTTTATTCCTTGTATATAAATATCAGAAAACTGAAGGCAGCCTCACATGGCAGAAAGAGAACTGCTAAGTGAACTGGGGATATCTACTGAGGACATTTCCCATCCAGTAGAAATGAGAAACAAATTTGTTTCACATGAAAATATTTACAAAATGTTAACTGGAAAAGGTAAGGTTACTAAAATTATGATTTAAAGTCACTGAACATAAATTACTAAATGCTTGCATTTACATACGTTCCTAAAACTTAAATGATGATTTCACCTACATAAATAACCGATGACACAACAGGACAAAGGCCGGAAGGAAACAGAATCACCTGCACTTTCCCCCAGGAAAGTCAACAGTGATCAAGTGGCTCATACTGGGTGTTTCACACGGCAGAACACAGGGCATCCCTCCAAAAAACAGAACCGCAGACCCACAAAACCAAAATCTCTAAGGATGGGACCCCAGGTGTCCAGAGGGCGATCTGGCAAAGCTGTTGAGAGCAGCTCTGTGGACGATCACATGCAACGAAGACCTCCCTTCATCGCAGGGGTCACCACACCGCTCCTGGCCCACTCTGCTCACTGACATGTGGATCACGCAAGAGTGCCAGGGGTCCACTCTCTGCTTCAGCTCCAATCCCTTCCCCATGCAGTCACCACAGCAGCTCCAGGTGGTGACGGAGCTGAGAGTTAACCTAGCCCGACTCCTCATTTTAATATGAGCAAACCGAGTCCTAGGTAAATTAACTGACTAATCTAATCCCCTGCACCCAAGACCACTAATTATTAAAGCAAAATCATACCAAGTTAGTCTGTCCAAAAGAGACAACACATCCATGGACTTACTTGAATGAACATTCAGTCAGATCGAAAGGTGGGCAGGCATACTGCGTTCGCCACTCAAACAAGTAGGAACAATCTGAAGTCTCCTTTAGAAATACTGGCTAAAAAAGTTAAGAGGCACATATATAAAAGTGAGAATGCAAAACTTTAGTTTATACTTTGAGTTTTAAGAATGAAAATAGTAAAGAATGGTTACGTTCATGAAAATCAATACTAACTGATGAAAGTTTCAACATATTTTCTGTAAATGGTTATTTTAAACTCAGTTAACCAGGAGATTTGATGAGATCTGAGGACAGATTCTTTCTAATATGATCCCAGCAGCCTGAGGGTGGGGAGAAGACCCCGCTGAGGGCCGTCGGTACATGCTCACCCGCTGGGTGCCGCGGTCACAGTAGAAGAAGATGGCTGTGGAGCGCTGATAAACCTTATGGCAAGTGTCCCCCCCCGTGAAGTTCATTTTTAACAAGCCATTTTCATAAGTTAGCTTCTGAGTCAGGAGACCTGTAAAGAAGGAGAACATTAAACAAGGTTTGGTTCGGGTCCCTAGGCTGTCAAACTTAGCCTAAGACATGTGACACCACACACCCTGAAGAGTGTGAGACAAAGTATCCCTGGCCTCCCAGCACCATACCATGCACTCCTGTCACATTACACTTTGGGAATAAAATCAGGCTTCCCCTTGTCCAAGGCTGCTGCAACGTCACAGACTGACCCGTGTATGATGACATGAGGCATTCCTTAGCCTCATCACCTAAGGGAATGTCACTTTCTCCACTGTGCCTGAGGGCTGTCCACGTACTCACCACCAGCTACTTTGACTTCATTTTTACAAGTTCCTAAATGTATTTAAATCTTGCCCAACTGCTGAAACAGCATGAATGACCAACAGCGTGCCCTGTAATTTCTACAGCCAAACCTCGTACTAAATGCATTCCCTGTGACTCAATGCTATCAAGTACTACCCCAGAACATCCAACACTGGCTAGCTCACTGTGTCCCAACGTTGTAATAAAGAAGAGAAATATGACCTTAGAGTCAGTAACTGGCATGGCTAACTAAGAATAAAATAGACATGCTCTACCAACATCCTTCAGTATGTACTCTGTTTAAGAAAATCAAGCAAAATCCGAAATATCATTAATATGCTTTTTTTTTTTTTTACAGTAGAACACTCATGTTTCTGACTCAAGGGAAAATTCATCTTCAGCAAAATATTTTAATATTTTAATTCCATTCCTTTGCAACAAAAGGAAAACGACAAACAATGGTACCTGCCACTTTGTGAAATCCCTGCGGTTCCCGCTTTTCCTGACATGAGGAGACCACCTTGGACTTGTCACTTGTGGGGCAGACGTCTGAGGAAAGCTTCCCACAGACCCGGAAGTAATAAGTGTATTCGCCAGCGCTCACGATGGTGTCGTTGAGGCCCAGGGGCTTCAGGTCATACAAGTTGCCATGCCTTGGGTCTTTCACCTCACAGTTGTCCCCTTCAAGAACATGGAAGAAGTGAAGGGCAACTGCAACCACACACGCATTCACATTTTCAAGCAAAAAGCTTTACAAATGGCCGGGCGCAGTGGCTCACGCCTGTAATCCCAGCACTTTGGGAGGCTGAGGCGGGTGGATTACTAGGTCAAGAGATCTAGACCATCCTGGCCAACATGGTGAAACCCCGTCTCTACTAAAAATACAAAAATTAGCTGGGCATGGTGGCAGGCACCCTGTAGTCCCAGCTACTCAGGAGGCTGAGGCAGGAGAATCACTTGAACCCAAGAGGCAGAGGTTGCAGTGAGCCGAGATGGCGCCATTACACTCCAGCCTGGCAACAGAGCAAAACTCGGTCTCAAAAAAAAAAAAAAAAACTTTTACAATTTTTGGTTAGGTAAATACCAGCTATAAATGGGCATTAAAAGCCATTTCCACATGATTTTGTTTATATATAATACAAATCGCCTGGCAAACAGCTTTCTAGGAAAGTCTAGGTCCCCGAATAAAGACTTGCTTCATCAAACAACACAAAACCAAACCCCACATTAGTGTCTTCAAGCATCAGACGCCAAAATCCCATCAATCCAGGCACACAAGGAAAATGTCACTCGTGAAATTAGCAATATGCTTCAGTAAAAAAAAAAGCTCAAGGAAAAGAAATTATCCTCCCCCTAGCGTGTGTCTCATGACCCCAGCTATGGCTGTTATCACACGGTCTCATATCTAAGGCATCGTTCAGAACGTCTGCTACTCTATACATTTAAAATGACTTGTAGGGACAGGCCCAGTCCTACCTTCCACTCTGACAACGGGACAGGCTTCCACAGTTCTCCAGATAAACACGTACTCACAACCATCCTGAAGCTGAAATGCTGGTGAGCCCTGTAATATAAATCAGCAGCCTGATTTGTTTCCTGTTTATTTTAAAAATTAATCAAATGGGGCCGGGCACGGTGGCTCACACCTGTAATCTCAGCACTTTGGGAGGCCGAGACGGGTGGATCACAAGTTCAGGAGTTCAAGATCAGCCTGGCCAAGATGGTGAAACCCCGTCTCTACTAAAAATACAAAAGTTAGCTGGGCGTGGTGGCAGGTGCCTGTAATCCCAGCTACTCGGGAGGCTGAGGCAGGAGAATCACTTGAACCTGGGGGGCGGAGGTTGCAGTGAGCCAAGATTGCACCACTGCACTCCAGCCTGGGTGACAGAGTAAGACTCCATCTCAAAAAAAAAAAAAAAAAAAAAAATTAAATAAATGATAGCCACAGTTAGTACCCAATCTTTGACCTCCATGTGCAAACTACGTAACATTTATTAAACATTTAAGACCTGAAGAAATGAGTGCATTCTCGTCAAACCCTAGCAATGGCTGAAACTCCACGAAAACACAGGCAAGTTTTAAACAAGATAGAAGATTCAGAGGTTCAAGGGAAATGGGAAATGGAGTCACCCGGGGACAACATCTCATTGCTGGTCTGAACACACACCGATATCTGAGCACACTCAAACGTGATCCTGGTGGAGAAGCGCTGGTTCCCACACTTGTCACCGTTGACATACATGATGCTCAAAGATCCATTCGCCGCGGCTTGGGGACTCATCTGCACCACACCCAGATTCCAGCTATTGCCTTCTGACACTAAGCAAGACCCCACTGCGCTGCCTGGAAGAACAGAATAAGTGGTTTGGGCATGAGGAAGGCGATGACCTTGAGTCAAATGCTCTAATAAAATGAACAGACGCCAATCAAGAGACCAAGGAGAACTCACCCTGGCATCCAGGAATGTAAGGGAGAGGATTGCAAACGCTCAAATAGAAAGTCCTCTTTCTCCCATCGACAGAGGTGTCAACAGCCGTCCAAGGTTTCCTGACTGTGCTTAGGCCAGTCAGGTCGTACTCATTTCCAGCCAGGTCTGAAACACAACAAAAAACCACGCTGGAGAACTCTGCCTCCTTGTGAGCACTCAAGAACTGCCTTTCACCCTAAATAA
Organism: Homo sapiens; assembly: GCF_000001405.40. Taxonomy (NCBI): domain Eukaryota; kingdom Metazoa; phylum Chordata; class Mammalia; order Primates; family Hominidae; genus Homo; species Homo sapiens. The sequence goes on along the minus strand of NC_000006.12, from coordinate 160,061,424 downwards.
GCCCTGAGGAGGCGTGAACCTGGCATTCCTAACTGTGAGGATAAGGAAATCCACGGGAGGCTGAGAGGCTTTGCCTACAAAACACACCCACTCTGTCCCTCAAAACTGCCCTTCACAGCCGGGCCTGGTGGCATGCGCCTGTAGTCAGCTACTTTGGAGGCTGAGGCAGGAGGATCACTTAGGACCAGGAGTTCAAGGCCAGCCTGGGCAACATAGTGAGTCCCTAAAGACTCTTTAAAGAAAAAAGCCAAACCCCCACTGCCCTTGACAAGGAAGTACCACTGTTGCAGAGCAGGCAGGGTCAATCCCAGAGGTCAAGGTCTCCTGTATACACTGTCAGCTTCCAGGGCACAGCTTAGGGAGTTTAACATCTTTTTCTTTTTTTTTCACCCTCAAATAAGAAGCTCTGACAGTACATGTGAAATGTGTTTCCTCTGCATTTTCTTCTCTGTTCTTAAGATGTATCTGATCCCAAAAGATAGCTTAAAACCATTAACTATATAGTCAGATTCTCTTCAAGAAAAACATTACAACTCTAGGCATCATTCAAAGAGAATATATAACAGAAATGTCACGCTGCCTGCATAACCAAGCATACACACCACACACACACAAATATACATACACACAGAAACACACCTTCATATCCACTCACACACACACTGACTCTTGACCGGCCTCTCAGTTCTTAGGCCGCACGGCCTTACCGGTGACTTGGCAGTCCACTGGAGAAGGAACACAGGCCAACGCGGTTTCAAACTCAAAGTAAGTGTTTCGGATCCCTTGCCCAGAGTCGATATCTTGATGCAGGAATTTGAGGGGCCCTGAGTAAACATCATCATTGCAAACAAAGCGGACGATAAAAGCATCAGCGGTACCTGTAAAGCAAGAAGGCCCAGATTTTAAGAGACAGAACAGTATTCATGGCGCAGCCCACAAGCACAGTGCAGCAACAGGACAAGGCTGCCACTGGCAACAAGCTTCACAGCCGTTCGTGGGAGCAATGACACCAGGGCACCAAGTGTGTATCGAGGGACTCGACATGAACAAAGTGGTCACACTCGCTACAACAGTGGCCTATGACAGGTTTACACACTCACTGCAACAGTGGCCTGTGTTACAACAGGTTTACACACTGCAACGGTGGCCTGTGTTATGACAGGTTTACACACTCGCTCCAATGGTGGCCTATGTGATGACAGGTTTACACACTCACTGCAACGGTGGCCTGTGTTATGACAGGTTTACACACTCGCTCCAATGGTGGCCTATGTGATGACAGGTTTACACACTCACTGCAACGGTGGCCTGTGTTATGACAGGTTTACACACTCACTGCAATGGTGGCCTATGTGATGACAGCTTTACACACTGCAACAGCGGCCTATGTTATGACAGGTTTCTACCATAAGCCTAACATCCTGGCATTCCTACTCTTCCAGAAAATATTTAAATCCCACGAGTTTACCAATCCAAGCATTAGAAGACAATGTAACTCTAATTCGTTGGCTTATTGAACAAATACTAAGTTCCTACCATGTATCGGAATGAATGAAGCAGACGAAAACCCCTGCCTGCAGCTGTGCTGGTTGCAGAGCGAGGAGCAAGTACAAAGATTCAAGAGGGGAGGGTGGGAGACAGTGCACTTTGTTTATATCAGAAACAGGGAGGCCAGCGGGCCAAGCGGGAAGAGCAGCAGGGGGTGATCATCTCAGAGAGCCCCCACGGGCGTCCCATGGCCGTACTGTGGACACTGGCTTCTACTCTAGGTACAGTGCAGAGCCTCCGAGGGCTCTGAGCTGGGAAGTGATATGATGTGATGTTTCAGAAACATCACTCTGACTGCTGTGTTGAATACAGGCTACAGCAGCCCCCCTTATCTGCGGGGGGATATGTTCCGAGACCCACAGTGAATGCCTGAAATTGAGAACCCTATATATACTATGCTGTTTCCTATACACACATACAGAGGATGAAGCTCAATTTGTAAGCTAGGCACAGCAAGAGATCAACAATAAAACAGAACAACTGTAACAATATCTGTAATGACAGTTACGTGAATGTGGTTTCTCTCATTCTTTCTCACAAAATACCTTATTATTTTCGGACCATGTGATACCACAAAAGTGAAGCCACGGATAACGGGACCCCTGTATTCTGCGAGGTCAAACGCAGGAAGACCACCGTGATGGCTCCTGCAGCAAGGTGGACAGCACAGCCCATGGTGGCGGGGGATGTGCACATCCTACACTCAGGAAGGTGCATGGCCAGCCACAGAGCCACCAGGGCCCTTTTTAGCTACAAAACAACATGGCTCTGAGCTCACCTTTGGCAGAGAGAGGCCCTTTGTAGGTCAGAGTGATGAAGCCCTCTGTGGACAGCTGGAGGCTTTTCTCAATTCCGACTGGCCTTGCTGGCTTCCAATTCTTGAGCTCTTCAGTTTGGGTTTCTGCCTCACAGCCAGAAGCAGGTTTTCCCAGGATGGTCCCACAGACAGGCATTGTGCCGCAGACATTAAACTGCAGGTCAGACGGTAAGAGCCATACAAACAAATTTATGCCTCGTATCTCACCACAGACAAGAACCCTAGCAACTCCAAATCCCACTAGGTTAAACATTTCTTATTTGTTAGTTAACTTGCCAACTTTCCACTTTCTGGCATGTTAGTACAGTTAGTACATAAGTCCAAAGGGCAGTATCTATAAACTGCCTTTAAGGTTTAGTATCTATACATCATTTAAATTCATACATCCCCGTATCTATAAATGTGTAAGATCTACTGCATGTAATAATGTACCATATATAAGAGAGGGAAGACACAGAAGTCATAATGTTATAATATTTTCAATTATGAGAAAGTATGTATCATTGAAATCATGTTAATTACAAGTAAATATAAAGTGGTACCCTACATTTCTTAAATTTGTTATTCCATTAAAAATTATTATATTATAGTTGTAAAAATGAAGTCAATTATGCTCTCTGGTGTGAAGATACAGTAAGGAGAGACCAATGGACAATGAGTACAGGCTTCAGCACTACCTTTAGAAAGTGTTTCCTTAAAGAGAACAACTTATTATTTGAAGAATAACAGTCTTCACGTCTGAACTGTGCCAGAATGGTGGTAAATGGTTTTACTTCATCTTTCCCTTAAATCTGGATTTTCCCATCTCCTTCTGAGTAAGAGCTGCCACCACAGTGGCCTGGGCAATTCTCTCATATCACCACGTGCAGGTGACTTCAATAATGCACTCTCCCCCTGTTTCAAAGCAAACTGGAAATGCATCATATCGCTCTTACCATAAAAATCTTCCCAATGCCAGAGACGTTATATCCTTGCGAACTGTTTAGCGGATTAAGATTAAACACAAATCCACTGTTGGGATCCCTTATAGAGCAAGCCTACAGGAAACAAAATGGGGAAAAAGGGGCGCATTCAAACCAATTCCACAGGAACATAACATACATACAGCACCTCCAGAAACCTGCAAGTATGCACCTGACAAAACTGTTTCTCCATTTACTTTCAAAATCCCTATCAAAAATGTAGCCCTACATGTAGCCTCTTCAAATACACCACCCTGAAGTATACCAAGTGTGAGCCCAGACTCAGAAATTACACTCACCTGGAAGCTGTTAAGGCTACTGCATTTCCCTAAGAAGACTATTGCTACTCCCTAAAGTTGGAGAGGAAATATAAGACTCATAAATTAGTTTCTTAAAGAAAATAAACATCTTAAGAAATCTCATGTTCTGTTTTCTGTCTCAATTATTCCCTTAAGGTAATCATGGGAAGTATGACCAGGTGACTGTCAAATGATATCCTCTCCTCTCCATATTTAACTTTGCCCTGGGCCTCCCTCTGTCCACTGAATGCAGGGAAGGAGACGGTGGCCACAGCCCCAGAAACATTGTCCATGAACAGGGTGCCTGGCATCCTGCCCTCACTGAGCAGTTACAAAGCCAGGACCCTGTGCTGGGGCCGTTGGTTTGGAAAAGCCTTGGTCTCTGCTGCCAGAGTCTGCAGTGTAGCTTAGAACAGGAAGTGGGAAGGCAAACAGGTCCCACCATAAAGAAATATACACGGTGCTGTGAAAACAACTCACTACCTTGGGGAGGTCAGAGAGAACGTCACTGAGCAGCTTACTACTATGCCCTGCAGGGTGCACTCAACAAGTGGAGGGCATGGACCCGGGCAGAAGGCGGGAGGAGCCAGTAGGCACTGAGAGACTCAAGTGGCACATTAACACCTGTGGGCTCTGCACTATGCACAGGGCCACGGTGAGACACACAGGCCTCACCCTATAGAAAGGATCATATTAACACCTGTGGGCTTTGCCCTACACACAGGGCCACGGTGAGACACACAAGCCTCACCCTATAGACAGGATCACATTAACACCTGTGGGCTCTGGCCTATGCACAGGTGAGAGACACACAGGCCTTACCCTATAGACAGGATCACATTAACACCTGCAGGCTGTGCTCTATGGATAGGGTCACATTAAAACATACGGGCTCTACCCTCTAGGGGACAGGCACTGAGATGGTTTAGGTGTGGAGTGACGTATCGACTAGTCAGACATCTGCCGGTGGTGCAGAAGCCCCAGAGCCCACCAGGATACCACTGCCACATGGAAGGCACAAAGGAATGGAAACAAAAGGAAGGAAACTACAGTGAGCAGAGAGTAAGACTGAGGGACCTGGTTCTTATCCCAGGAGCTGGGAGCTGCGGAGTGGAGAGGAACTCTGGGTGACCTGCAGACACCCATTGTCAATGCAACATAGTAACTGATTCAGAAAGAAGGGGCAGGGGTCGGTTCAGAGCTGGAACACTGGGGTGAGTTGAGGATGTCCAGCAGGCAGCTCAGCACGAGGGCCAGGTGAAAGCACACGTACCTGGTCTGTATCCGTCGTTGTCTGAATGGGACAGGCAGCCTCTGTGTTCCACAGGAAACTGACCACACACTCCCAGTTGAGAGAAAAGATGGGGTGGCTGTTCTGAATGGGCAAATCCAGGGTAAAAGTCAATACAGTAACATGGAACTTGATAGAACCAAAAGAATACTCGCCTGAGACATAAAAATAGCCAAAATCTGCTAGATGTTTATTATGAGTCAGCCAATAAGCTAGGCACTTAATGTGCATTACCTAATTAGAATTTAATGTTCTCATTCTCCCTATGAAGACAAAATAATCTCCTACGCTTGGATATTCAGAAATATAGAAATCGTGCCAGCAGTAAATGGTAGAATTCAGATCCAAACCTAGGTCTGAGCTCAAGGTTCTGAAAAGTACCCTACACAAAAAGTTGAATGCAAGAAGCCATACACAAAGGCAACGGTACGTAGGATTCACTGACATCAGCTCAGGATTGGGCAACAATGGCCTGCGCTGTCAGAGGTCAGGAGGATGCTCAGCAGTGGCAGGAAGAGGGCACAGGAGGGCTCCTAGGGGGAAGCATGTTCTTTCTTGATGTGTAGTTTATGGACACTCACCCAGCTGTGTCACGTTATCATCTGTGTGCCCTTCGGTGTGTATGTTTCCATAAAAAGCTCCCCCAAAGAGCCATTAGCTTTGTGAGAGCACCACCACCACACAGGCAATGGTAGCTGCCGATCAGGGAGTGTTTATCACACACCAGGACTGCACTATGAGTTTTGTTAGTATTTCTCAACTGCGCCTCACAGTGACCCACAAACACAGCCTACAAATGAGAAAACTGAGGCACAAGGAAGTTAAGACACCTGCCCAGGGTCACGGGTTCAGGAACAACAGCCACTAACACTGAGTCCACACCCTTGGCCGTCAAGGGCTCTCTACCCTTGAAAGCCCCCACCCACTCCAGGCCTCAGCAACACTAGCAGTAGAATAAAAACACACCTGCTCCTTCCACTTCACAATGTGCTTGTGAAAGGGACTGAGCTTTAGCCTGTGAAAGTTCTGTGACTGCAAACCCCTGGGAGAGCGGCCCTTTCTTCCTTCAGTGAGTGTATTTCCTGTGCTGCAGGCCCTATATGAGTGCTGAGAGACACGACAACAATGTGAAGCTACCCTGTAAACTAAATATGGTATCACAGAAAAGCTGGAAAACCAAGGGTCCAAGAACTTTCTGGAACTACCCAGTGTCTCAATGGCAACAAGAAACCAGAGAAGGAGGGGGCAGTCCACAGGCAGGGAATGCACAGATGTGCCCAAAAACAGACCAGCAGGCTGAACTGGGCAACCTAGGCATCTCCCCGTGGAACACCAAACCTGGATCCTTCCTGAGACTGAGAGAAGAAGTGGGCGGCCCAAGCTCAGGTGAACCCAAGGAGAGTGTGTACAACCTGGGTAGAACACCTCCCGCAGAGAGCATGGGCCAAGCTCAGCCTGCCCGTCATTCATTCCCTGATCACCGAGATCTTCAACTCTAAAGGAAGTGTCTCTCAGGAAAAAGAGTGTTAGCCAATGACAAAGCAGACCAGGCAGGTGAGTGACGCAGCGTCCACTGGGCCACTGCAGGGAAAGAACGCATCCTGCTGGCTCATTTCAGTGGGGCTTGAGGAAGCTGCCACACACCCTTAACAAGGGATTGTTAATAATTTAGTTGATAATGAACATGGCTTCCAGTCTCTCCACTCTCCTAACCATTTGATAATTTCTCAAAAACACATGACCCTGGTATAAACCTAAAACTACAGGTAATAAGAAATGAAAATAAAATCCTAAGCCCCATAACTGACTGAACACACCCCACTCTTAGCCAAGGGGACTCCAGAGAAACTTAAAAATTGCATTCCTGTCCATGACGGGGTGGGAGGTGAGACATACCCCATTACACCCCTTTCCTCGTTAACCACTAGGCTTTCTTCCCTAAGTGCTAAACAGAAGCCGACCCTTTTGAAAGACTCTGCTGCTGGTATCAACCTACCACCTGACAACGTCCATCCCTTTTTGTGGTTCTGACAACACAACAATCGACCAGCATTCCCTGCTGATAAGAGACCACAACTCCCAGGTGGTCCTGGCCTTCTAAGGAGGCTGCACACAGAGGGCCTTCATGTCCTCTGCTTCACCTTTCGACATACAGGGCCCAACTGTAATATATTTAAATGTTATGTCTTCAACCCAAAATGAACATGGGGACACATGCTGCATACATGTTGCCTACCACGCATGTGTGTGCCATCCCTTCGTGAATATGCATAGCTGCTCCTGTAACCTGCTGAATATGTATACTTGACTAACCTGTTCAGCATCCATTCGTGTCTTAGTCTTCCTCCCTCCCAGCGCTTGTTTCTGGCTTCTGGCCTGAGGCTACACTTCCCAGCCTGTCAGAAATGGCCACCCTGCAGGCTGCAAATCTTTATGAGAAATAAAGCTCTCCTTTCCAAATTAGATTTGAGACCATCAAAAAACTTCTAGGCTGTGTATGGTGGCTCATACCTATAATCCCAGCACTTTAGGAAGCTGAGGCAGGAGGACTGCTTGAACCTAGGAGTTCTAAGACCAGCTTGGGCCACATAGACAGACCCCCCATCTCTTCAAAAAATTTAAAAACCATTTTGATAACTACAGGTAACTCCACCTGTAGTTCCAGCTACTCAGGAGGCTGAGGTGACAGGGTCACTTGAGCCCAGGAAGTCGAGGCTGCAGTGATTCAGTGAGCAATGATTACACCCACTACACGCTAGCCTGGGTGACACAGCAAGACCCTGTAAAAGTCCTGGACATGGATACTGGTGATAAATACAGGACACCAGAGATGTGTATAATATATGTAACCCAAAGACAGTCAGAATGGTCAGTTTAATGTTATATATATTTTACCCCAATTAAAAAACAGAAGCAATTGGGACTGTATAAAATGGCCCCAAAGCATTTCCATGGAGAGAAGAGCAGAGCAAACTCCACACAGTCTGCTGTTGTCCCCTGGCTAAGGAACTCAGGGCCAACATCAATCCCACTCACCTCCTCTACCTCCTAGCCTTAATTCATTTTATTATTATTATTTTTAATACCTTTTTTTATTATATGTTAAGTTCTAGGGTACATGTGCACAACATGCAGGTTTGATACATAGGTATACATGTGCCATGTTGGTTTGCTGCACCCATCAACTCATCATTTAATTTAGGTATTTCTCCTAATGCTATCCCTCCCCCCCAGCCCCCAACAGGCCCTGGTGTGTGATGTTCCCCACCGTGTGTCCAAGTGATCTCCTTGTTCAATTCCCACCTATAAGTGAGAACATGCAGTGTTTGGTTTTCTGTCCTTATGATAGTTTGCTGAGAATGACGGTTTCCAGCTTCATCCATGCTTCTTTTGCCGTGCAGAAGGTCTTTAGTTTAATTAGATCCCATTTGTCTATTCTGGCTTTTGTTGCCATTGCTTTTGGTGTTTTAGTCATGAAGTCCTTGCCCATGCTTATGTCCTGAATGGTATTGCTTAGGTTTTCTTCTAGGGTTTTTATGGTTTTAGGTCTAACATTTAAGTCTTTAATCCATCTTGAATTAATTTTGTCTCAGGTGTAAGGAAGGGATCCAGTTTCAGCTTTCTACATATGGCTAGCCAGTTTTCCCAGCACCATTTATTAAATAGGGAATCCTTTCCCCATTTCTTGTTTTTGTCAGGTTTGTCAAAGATCAGATGGTTGTAGATGTGTGGTGTTATTTCTGAGGACTCTGTTCGGTTCCATTGGTCTATATATCTGTTTTGCACCAGTACCATGCTGTTTTGGTTATTGTAGCCTTGTAGCATAGTTTGAAGTCAGGTAGCATGATGCCTCCAGCTTTGTTCTTTTTGCTTAGGATTGTCTTGGCAATGTGGGCTCTTTTTTGGTTCCATATGAACTTTAAAGTAGTTTTTTCCAATTCTGTGAAGAAAACCATTGGTAGCTTGATGGGGATGGTATTGAATCTACAAATTACTTTGGGCAGTATGGCCATTTTCATGACACTGATTCTTCCTATCCATGAGCATGGAATATTCTTCCATTTGTTTGTGTCCTCTTTTATTTCCTTGAGCAGTGGTTTGTAGTTCTCCTTGAAGAGGTTCTTCACATCCCTTGTAAGTTGGATTCCTAGGTATTTTATTCTCTCTGTAGCAATTGTGAATGGGAGTTCACTCATGATTTGGCTCTCTTTGTCTGTTAATGGTGTATAGGAATGCTTGTGATTTTTGCACCTTGATTTTGTATCCTGAGACTTTGCTGAAGTTGTTTATATGATTACTATTTTGAAACAGGATCTTGCTCTGTTGCCAAGGGGCTGCAGTATAGTAGCACATCCTCAGCTCACTGCAATCTCTGCCTCCTGGGCTCAAGTGATCCTCCCACCTCAGCCTCCCAAGTAGCCAGGACTACAGGTGCACATCACCACACTTGGCTAATTTTTTGTAGAGATGGGGTCTCACTAAGTTGCCCAGGCTAGTCTGAGACTCCTGGGCTCAAACAATCCTCCTACCTCTGCCTCCCAATTTTTTTTTTTTGAGACAGGGGCTCGCTTTGTCTCCCAGGCTGCAGTGCAATCATGGCTCACTGAATCCTCAACCTCCTGGGCTCAAGGAATCCTCCTGCCTCAGCCTCCAGAGTAACTGGGACTACAGGCATGAGCCACCACACTTGGCTAAATTTTTTTTTAAATTTTTTGTAGATGGGGTCTCACTATGTTGCCTAGGCTGGTCACCAATTCCTGTCCTCAAGTGAGTGATCTTCCCATGTTGGCCTTCCACAGTGCTGGGTTAGATCTGAACCACTGTGCCCAGCCCTCAGCCTTAATTTCTTATTCCTGTTTTGTATTACACATACAGCCCTCATCGTTCACCCACAGGCCTGAGCTATACCAAGCCTCAGATTCCTATCTGTGGTCTTTGTGGTTTGGACTGCTGGGGCTCAGAAAGCAATACCCCAAGGATCAGTGCTTTGACATGCTGAGAAGCTGCCTGAGAATCAAGGTCATCCTTTGAACCGTGCCTTGTTACCTCCACCCTCAAGCACAGGGAGAGACTTTCTCTGGAATTTCCTTACCTGACCAAGAAGGCTTCTTTCCAAAAGAAACTCGGAAATCTCATTATCTATCCCACAAAAGAAGACTGAGGACAGCAATCACACCTGGACAGACTTGTGCACAAGATAATGCCTTCCTCATTCAGGCTCCAAAGAGAATCATTTGCAAGTTAATTTCTGTCCATTCTTTCTCCCAAATAATCATTTGCTGCCCCGTCAAAAGAACTGTCTACATCCCCTATCTCCCTCTCCCCTGTGAAATAGGGTACATAACCTTCTGTGTTGCATTAGGCTACTGGGTCATCTTTCTCCTGCTATTTATTCCCCGGTGCTATGCACGTCAAAATTTTAATGTCTTTTCTCCTGTTGACAGCTGATTTTCAGGGAAACTTCAAAGGGTGAAAGGGAAGCTTTCCCTTGGCCCCTACAGGACCAAACTATCTCTAAGCCCCGTTCCACTGCCACGATCCTCAACTCACAAGAACTAAGAGGCAAGATAATGTCTGTACGACTCAGAAAAAAAATCCAGGAAACAGTGTATGTCACCAGAGCCTCAAACTCCGCAGCAAAAGATGAGGCTTACACTTCAGAAATCGCAGCCATGAAGGTACCACAAATCACTCCCTGCCTGTGAACATATATACCGCACACTGACCTTAAGCAGAACTAAGACTGGCCTAGCTCCGCCACCCACCCCAAGACTGCTGCTGTTAAGAGACACATAAGGCAACGCTCAGTCAAAAAATGCAGCAGTGAAGGTCACCAGCCAGCAGCAGTGCCTTACCAGCCTGCCCCTGGAGCAGACGAGATGGATCCTCGTGGTATATGTGGTCTGTCTGCCATCGCTGGTGGTGCAGGCCGACCCATTCACGTATTCCAGAAGGAGGCTGCCGCTGTCCTCAACCACCGGGCCGGTCTTTGCCATTCCCAAGTTACTGATGGAAACCACTTCAGTGAAGGAGCCCTGCAAGAAAACCAGTCTTGTTAGGCTTTTCCCCCTGAAGATACAGTCGATTCGTTATTGGTGGTGGTTACATTCTATAAAGCTGCAGCAAACAATGAATTATTGAATACAGAACCACTGCTCCTGGGGAAATCCCCTTATTACATATGGAATAGGAAACCATCCTCAAAGAGTTAACAACAACTGCATGCTGCGTTCCAGGCATGCAATTGAGCACCAATCAGGCTGCATGCTGGCCTGTAACTGAAAGTCACATAGCACTAGATACTAGTCACATCCCCATTATTGCTACAGAAAGAATCACTGGCATTGGAATCATAAGGCTTTCGTTCAATAATCGTGTAAGATGTTCTTCAGATCCTGAATTCCGGTGGAACGGCTGACACTAACCACTATGAAGACCTCCCTACAGGGAACCAAATGCAGTTTCTTCATCTCCCCATCCGATGACTTCACCCTGCACTCTTCTACCAATAAACAATCCCCACACCTTGGCCCGCTCCAAATCCCTTAAGTCCCTCAACCCAAATTCCTTAGGGAGGTGAATTTGAGGTTTCTTCTCATCTCCTCATTCGCCTGCCCTACAATTAAACTCTTTCTCGGCTGTAATCCCCAATGTCTCAGCGTACTGACTGGCCGCACATCAGGCAAACAAACCTATTACACACAGATTATAAATCTGAAATCCCAAGACAACTCATGCTGACAGATTCTACTCTCTTTATTTTACAGAAGGAAAAACGAGGTTAAGGAGTGTTAAGTGGCTCACCTAAGGCTGCCCCGCTAAACTTTCCGAACACAAGGGAGTAAGTCATGTTTGAAAAGGCTTTAGTGTGAATTCTAGGCAAGAAACTTCTCTTAGGGAGACCTTACCAGGCAGTGCAGCGCGGAAGTTCCAGCTCTGGAGCATCTCTGAGTTGAGATGCCAGAGTTGGAATTCAGACCCCGTCCAACTGGCCCCAGGGCTGGAGCTTTTGCACTGCACTGCCTCGCCCTCTCCATCCCCTGCTCATCTCAGGGTGAGGCAGAAACAAGAGGCCAGAGTGTCCCCCTGTTCAACTTCAACCAGGAACAGGCTTGTCGGGTACTATGCACATTGGGCCACTACACTCGTTCCAACAATGACTGAGAAAGTGTTCCGCGTGGTGATTTTGGAGTTACACGTGTTCTCAAGTAGGCAAGTTCACAGATGCAGAATCTGTGAATAAAGAGGACTGACTATACACTGAACTCATTGCTCCAGTAAAGAACACACATGTGCAGAGGTAAACACAACCAGGAACTCGATTCCTAACCACCAGAGCACACTTGCCACCTTCCTTTCAAAAACCTCCAAGCTGCCATTAGCATACACCAAGAAAAGTACATTCCCAACATGCTATTTTTACAGAAGCCAATACAGATGTCCAGAGACATCTCTTTTAAGATTCACCACGTACAACGACCACAGGAGACGGGTAAATGTTCTGGCGGTGACTGCATTCAACCCAGGGACGAACTGCAGCGAATGAGAGCGTGTGCTTGAATCTGGTTCATCCACAGCAACTCTCCCAAATCGGTTTTTCCCCCTAATCAATCCAGAAACAAGAGCTTTTGGAAGCAAAACTCTCTTTTTCACAGGTGTCTGCTGAAAGCACCTAAAGACACTTTTGAATTCAGGCTAGACATAACCATTCGGTGCTTCCTCTGCCCTTTGTGTGATCAAAAGTCTGCAACACAGCATTCTCCATGTGAACAATGATTCCTGTGTGACACACTTCTGCTCCTACAGGAGGCAGATGAGTTCACATGGAGGCCCCACTCCTACTCAGAGGGTTTCTCTCGAGCAGCTGTGCTGCCTTTGATCTGGATGTCCCAGAATAACCACCTCCTCCCACTAAGTCATGGAATTAGGAGGGCAAAGGAGACAAGCAGTGAAAACAGATTCACCTGATCTTTTTCATACTTCATCTGGCAAGCCGATGCATATCGGTTGCAGCCCGGCACTGGATTCAGAGGCCGACACACGTTAATGTAGTATTTCCTCCACGTGACATGTTCCCCTGAGTTGTCCATGGCATACCAGTTTCCTCCAAGGCCACCTTCAGATTTTGCCAGACTAAAATTTCAAAGCAAAATGTATATGCTTTTAAAGAGCTTACACATTTCAGTCTCATTTATTTCTATGTAGTTGGGGAAGTAAAGCTACCAAATAAAACATGCTCCACCAATCACACTACCAGGAGTTGGCTTGTCTGGGCGCATGACGCACCAGGATTACACTCCACCTTCGCTGAACTCAGTATGCAGTGGACCTTAACTGTCCCCCGTGCCTCTGCACTGACAGTCATTGTTTTAAATGATGAAGCTAAAGGCCGAGGCTCTGCTGTGGCCAAGACTGGTTGCTATCCCAAAGGCGACCAGACAGTTATTAGAATTCACTCTGCTGAAAATGCCCCACCTTGGTCCTGCAGCCCCACAGCCAGCATCACTCCCCATCATCAGCTCAGTCACACGCTCACCAGCAACACTTGCAACCTCAGCATCTGTACCAGGCCAAAAACAGAGCAGCTGACTCTGCCTCACCTGGAGAGGTCGTACTGCTCCAGCGTGGAGGGGTCGGTCACTACGCATTCCAGGGGCTCCTCCGGGCAGGCATAGCTGGTGTACCACCGGAAGTTGTAGGTGGAGTTATCCTCTTCCTAATCCACGGCAGATGCGCGGAGGGATGGCAAAAAGAGAAAGACACGTGACATAAAACCAGGATTCAAAAAAGGACGAGAGCAATGTTCCCAATGAGAAACTGTGAAGAAAAGCTTAGTCTGCCCATCTCCCTTCATTTTATTAAAAAGAAGACTGTCCAGTAACAAATCAGGATGAAAATTTAGCCTCTGCTAAGTGGGGGTTAATTCAGGATTTTTTTTTATGCTTTTGTATGTTTTGTACCCAAAACTGACAGGCTTGTGGGCTGTTATTAAGGTGCACAACCCACTAAATAAACAGCTTAAAATACTAATACTGCCCAGGCACCCTGGCAAATCTAATGACGGTGATGATTTGGCTGGAAACCCAGACTGATACAAGCTCTGCTTAAATGAAAGGCCCACCACAGGCATGAGTATCCTCAGGGAGCGCGATGAGGAACAAACATTCCTACCTGATATTCAGGGAAGCCCACTCCCGCGTCTCGATCACAGAGAAAGGTGATGAGCGTAGCTCTCGGTGTGTGTCTTTCATTGTTATAGGGTGTGCCGCCTCTGTAGTTCAGTTGGATCATCCCATCATAATATGAAAGCTTCGCATTACTCAGACCCAAGTTCCAAGTCTTCTCATCACTGAAATAAACACACGTTTCTCTCAGCAAAGACCTGAGGGGCAGAAGCACTCCAAGGCTGCCACACTGAAGGGAGGGCCCGTGAGCGACGTGAGGAGTCACCAGAACCAGGCCCGGGCTGCAGACCACAGGAACCCACACAAGGTCTCCAACGGCAGCAGGAACACTGGGACCCAAATCTCCTCTTGGCACCGCTGGTTTAGACAACTCACTTCATTTGAACTGCAGTTACGCAGAATGCAGAAATACGCACAGAGATATCTAGGCACTGAGAAGCACAAAATGCGCAATAGTGAGGCATAACCTCAATCCACCCTTCTTTCCCAAGGATGGGCCTGCTCCTTTCTCTGGGAAATTAAACTCCTAACATCCTTCAGTTTTCAGACCAGGTCTCATCAGTATTTAAATGCTTGTCATAAAGCAATGACATTAAGTGAGAACACACCTATTCCTGAAAATAATATTTCTTAGCATATAATGCCTAAGAATGAAACAGAACTGAGAAGCTACTTGCCTTTTTGCCACCTGGCAGGCTCCTGAGTCTGGCTGACAGGGGCTCACAGACACCGGGCCACACACATTTATATAAAAGTCATACTTCTTTGTCTCAACTTTATAGGCACCATTTTTCTTTGTGAGAGGTGATAAGTCAAAAGAAAACCCTAAGAAAGAATAAAAACAATAAAAGTATGGAAGGTCAGTCCGACAGTTAACAGAGTGGTCTCACCCCACAGTTTGAAAGGGAGAGGTTCTTCCCAGGAGGTTCCCAACGGCAGGAAGAAGTGGAGGAGGCAGAAGAGACGCTGCCCCTTGAGGCCACCAGAACCGCGATTACTAACATTTTCCTTGGAGATGGATCCAACTCCACCATTCCCTTCTACTGGGTTAGCCTAAAGCGCTATTCAAAGCCCATAACTGCTGGGCTAATAAACAACAGCATGTTCAAAGTAGGACGAGCATGATATTATGGCCTTCTTGTAAGGTCTCCCTCAGAGAGGTTTCTTGCCTAGAATTCACACGAAAGCCTTTTCAAACATAATTTATTCCCTTGTGTTCCGAAGGTTTTGCATTCAGCAAAACCACCTCAATAATGAATTTAAGATAGTATTTTCAGTATCTCAAATAAGCCTCAAACATCGGATGTTCAGAATTTTGTTCAAACAGCATGAATAAAATTCTAAGGCGGGTCACCTTGAAAACCTCACACAGAATGTTAAGGAAAAAACCTTAAGTGGTTCCAAGTCACATTAAAGCAGAGGTCCTGCTTGGACACAGACCTGCCTGGGAGTCAAAGACCGTGCAGTTCTCCCCTTCTGTCTTAGACAGCACACAGGCCGCAGCTGTGTGCCACTCAAACTCATAAAAGCAACCGCCTTCCCCAGAAGTTCTCAACACTGGTGCACTTTCCAGATCACCTGTCAATGGGGAAAAGAGATGGGGATCACTAATCCGTTCATTCCTAAAATATCTTACCTCATTCTTCTCTGCTAGAAGTAGACTTGGAAGGGACAGTGGGAAATGAGGTATAATGCATAGAAGGGTCAAAAAACAGCCCTACAAATACTGTAGCATTCCACCTATATGAGGTATCTAGAACAGTCAAATCCGTAGAGACAAAAAGTAGAAGAGAGGGAATGGAGAGCTCGTGTTTAATGGGAACTGAGTTTCAGTCTGGGAGGATCAAAAAGTTCTGGAGATGGATGGTGGTGGTATTACACAACAATGTCACCAAGCTACACACTTAAAAGCAGTTAGGATGGTACATTTTACGTTATGTTGTATATTTTACCATATAAAACAAACAAACAAAATGACCCTAGCTTCTGACTTTATCCCACAGCTGGGAACTTATCCAAAGGAAATATTTCAATGGGAGGTAGAGAGAGGATACATAATAGCACAATTAGCAACACTGGAAACGCGCTATTAATCCAACAATAAGGAAAATGTTCAAAAATAGTAAAACCACACCATGTCAACAAGGAAGTTCCTAAAAATTATTAATGGAACTGTGAAACATAGAAAAGTATTTACAAAATACTACACTTTGAGAAACATTAAGATTTGTTACCATAAAAATTTTGACTTGGTAAAAACAACATACATCTATAAATAAAGGTAATGAAAATTAACATTGTGTTTAAGTGGTGAGATCACGGGCAATGTTTTAAACCATTTATGATTTTTTTCCCCTTTGAAGGAAGTTAAGTAACCACATGACTGGCCGAGTATCAGTCCCGAGGAAGAGGATACAGCGCTGAGACCCACAACTCCCTTCTGACACCATCTGGTTTCTCCATTTCTGATTTGGTTTTGAGGAGGGGATGAGGGAAAAATTCCAAATGACCTATCTCCCATCGCCAGAGTCTGGAACTCAAAATGCTGAACACCATGCCAATCTGTCTGATCAGCTTTGCAGTGACTGATGAGGAACAGAGATATGAAGAATGCAGGACCTCTGGCAGAAGCCAGAAAAGATTTCATCTTTTTTAAAATTTTTACCTGGCTTGCATACAAGTGTGATATTAGTTTTAATTTTCTTGCCATGACCACAATCATCACCATCTGAATAAGAGAGTTGAATGTTTCCTTTCTCTTTCATGGGAGAGGAAATAAATTTTCCCAGATTTTTACTTCCATTTTTATCTGGAAGAGAAAGGGGGAGAAAACAGAAGATGTGGTTAAAAATGATCATCACGCAGACAAAGAAGTGACTTAAAAAAAAAAGAAAGAAAGAGAAAGAAAGAAAGAAATCAGCCCAAACCCAGCACGTGCAGCCCTTCTCCAGCCCCCTGAACCCACCAAGGCAGCGGATGGGTTTCCCTAGAGTGCCACGTTTGGCTAGACATTAACAGCCACATTGGGGTCCTCCAGGGTCATCCATAGGTTCAGCCAGAAAGCGCCATGAAGGATGCACAATGCCCTTCCAGGGCAAGAAAGACCAAATGGCTTGCAACATGCATCAGCACCAACTGTAAACTGACATTGTCCCCTACTGTCAGGGCTTCAGCTACCCCAAGACACAAAGTCTTTTGAAAGCACAGCCACACAGCCAAAGGGTGAGAATGTGTCTCATATCCAAAGCAGAAATTAACGAAACCTGTTTAGCAACCCAAGCAGGAGGCCGCTTACTTCTTAGTTCACTTGCTTTTTGTTATAAAGGATTAAAACTCTGTTCCAAAGTCCTTCTTAGTAAAGACATGGACATGCCTGAACCTGCTTTTAAAGACACACCAGCAATTCTGAATACCGAGATAATTCCTAAAATCCAACGAGGCTCACAATTCCTTATTGAATGCTTTTAACAGATTCTCACTATTCTCATAGCCTGGCATTTTCAAAGTGAGTCATAAATGACAAAAATGAAGTGCTAAATACCTGTATCAAATAATTGAGAAGTCTCTGCATGACAGCTACGGGACCAAAACAATGACAGCAAAAGGAAGCGAAGCATGCAAGCCCCTCTTACACTAGGGCTACAGCTGAGATTACACTTCACTCAAGCCATAACTTTTGAACGATTCTAGGCAATAAAGTTGTTAAAAAATAAAATAAAATCACTTGTACACAAACACTGGCAATGTTATTCTTCAGGTTACAAACTAAAAAGATGATGTAGTATTTTCCACGTGGTTCCTTCTGTTCCCAGTTATGGCTTTAGCCCATGTCAGGGAGCTCTAGCCAACTTCAGGATTCCAGAGTGCATCAAGCAATTACTGACATTTGAGTTATGAATGAAAAATTTTTACCATCCTTCATGTGATTATAGAAAGAGGAGGCTTAGATGAACCACAGAAAGATCTTCTAACTCATTCCAAACTGGATGCCCTAGAAAAGCATCACCTAGATCTTCCATCCAGGCACAACTCACCCACTGCACACACTGCCGCGTCCTCGGGACACCCTCGTGCCTTGCCTTCCTGCAGCACTCTGTGACAAATATTAATGAAAAAATGCTTCTTCTCTGTTTCCGTCTGACTGCCATCCACAGCTTCCCAATTCTGCTCTGGTTCTGTAACAAAACAAAAGTGTATTTTAGCCAAAAGCAATGCTGATTTCTCTGAGTCACAGAATAAATAGTGATTAAGCCAAAAGTCAAGGGCTCAAAGTTCCCAAACCACTTCGTCACTCAATCCCCAGCGCTGTTTCTGGAACCCGGGCAGACTGAAAGCACAAAAATTCACCGAGATTCTCAGGTTTCTCATTTAATGTGACAGAAACAAACTACATCCCAATACTTCTTCAGAAGAGTAGGCCCAACTGGGGGACAGAGAACTGAACGGCAAAATTCTCCCAAGCCCCACAGTATGAAATTAGAAACTGAAAACCCAAATCAAGAAGCCAGCCTGTGTCTTGGGACGCAGTAGAGTGGTACATCATTGCTAGTACACCCCGCTTAACACCATTGCTAATACACCCCGCTCGGCCCCTGTGAAGGCCTGTGAAGCTAAAAGAAACCAGCAACCTCTTACACATCTGCAGACTGAGTGCAGGATGCAATGCATGCTACCACAGAAGACAAGCAAGGTACCACAGGTGGCCGCTGAACTCACAAGACTGGTGAGCTGGTCAGTGTGATCAGACACTGATTAGGCACCTGCAGGACGTGAGGGGGCACCAGCTGAGTGTCACCAGCACAGCAAGCAAGGGCGAGGGCATCCACAAAAAGCAAACCACACGGCGAACAGTCGCTGAAGGAGTAACTTACAAAGTGTGTCAAGGAGGAGGTAAAGATATAAAAATACACGTTCTCATTTGAAAATGCTCCCTTTGCAGGTTGGGTACTGGGGTTTGGAAGGCAAAACCCCATGACTCATCAGTGGTGATACAGTACATTTGGAGAAGTACTTTCCAATGTCAACAGCCTAAAAGAAACCATACAAGACTGTGCATGTGAACAAGGACCTGCCCTAAACACTGGAAGTCTGGGGTGGAGCCAGGTGGGCTGTAAAGTCTTAAGGGACTTCTTCAAGCAGTAAGGAATGGTTTTAGCTCTCCCTTCATAATTTACTTAGGGCTATCTACGCACAAATACCACGAAATACTGCAGATTCCAAGAAACCAGAGCTATGTCAGGAAGTCTGTAGATTGAAAAATGTATCTCTCCTTATCTCATAGATCCTAGGTTGTCTCTTATACACAGTAATGTTTAAAAAAAAAAAAGTTAACTTAAGGAATCTAACAGCACCACCCAGTTCACCGTAAGAAACCCGGGCCTGGAGAGCAGCTCGCTCAAGCAAATGTGGTTGGATGCGGCAACACCAGTCCTCAGCCAGGTCTCCAACTCTGCAGCTAGAACTCTTTCCACTTCACAGAAAACCAATGTCTTCACTAGCACACATGTGCCAGAATTAACTATGGCACCGTTCCCAGCAGCACACAGGGTGTTTAACCACAACAGCACTGCCAGCACTCCCTGCCCAGGCGGTTCACAGTGAGGCAGGTTCTCAAACACTCCACAAGAGGGATTCCTCTTTCTAACCTGGTATTTAGCAAACCAGGTGGGACTCAGAAGACAGGAGCAGCAGTGCTGTCACCCTGGCAGTTTTATTTTTCTTTAAAAAAAAACAAGATACATGTGGAGAACGTGCAGGTTTGTTACATAGGTATACATGTGCCATGGTGGTTTGCTGCACCTACTGATCCATCCTCTAAGTTCCCTCCCCTCACCCCCAACCCTAAACAGGCCATGGTGTGTGCTGTTCCCCTCTGTGCCCATGTGTTCTCAATGTTCAACTCCCACTTACGAGCGAGAACATACCGCCAGCAGTTCTGTGACTGTTCTGGGTGGTAATTACATGAGGCAAGTCATTCTCTCTGCTTCGGGTCATCTCCCCCTTACAGAGGCAACTGGCTTCTGTACACCTAATTTGAGCTGCCAAGAGGGTAAAACCAGAAATCCCCCCCATCAGATTATCCCTGCTTGAGACTCCCATTCTTATTATTCCACCTGCTCTGTTTCCTGCTAAATTCCAGGCCCCCAAGGACAGGGGTTGTGCTGTGGGGGGCGCTGCTGCCTCCTTGGCACCTCATCCGGTGCCTGCCGTGCAACAGCAAGCTCAGCCTCGAGTACAAGCCCACTGCACGCTGAGGCAGCGGTGAACAGCAGCCCAAGGTGCACATCCATCTGCCTAGAGGATCCAAACAGAAGAACCCCAGGGGGCAGAGGCTGCAGATCCCACCTCAGAGATGGAAGAGAGGCAGTGTGTAAAAGGGTGAAAACACAAGGTCAAAAATGCTGGTCTCAAATTCAGTTATTTCACCTCCCAGTCCAATGCTCCTTCTAATAATTCACACAGCCACATGAAAAAACTGGGGGAGGGCTGTGACGCAACCCACTGACAAAGAAAATAGTAACCGCATTTCCAAAAGTACTCATGGGAAAATGTTCCATGAGCATGTGGACTAAGACCCGCATGGCAAGGAGGGCAGTACCTGCATGGCGGACCAGCGCGGACAGGTCATAGCGCTTCTTCCCGTCGGTGGCACCGCAGAGGAGGTCTTCCTTCTCCTTAACACAGGCGTATTCCGTGTCCCATGTGAAGAAGTAGGTGCAGTCAACCTCCCCTGTGAATACAGGAGTTCCTTTCCCATCGTTACCTGCACAATTCAAGAGGAGAAATTTAAACTCCATACGTGACCAAAATTGAGGAACAGCTAAGGAGCAAGGAAGAAACTGAACAGGACCAATGCCAACTGCTCCGTTAAAAAATTCAGGTCCAGGTTTTTTTAGAGACCATGGGGATCTGAGTTGACACAGGCTTCTATTAAGCTTCAGATGCTTAACCCTAAGTCCTCGATGGCAGGCCAGCATGCCTTTCACCTTGGGAGACATTGACAGAAGGCTGTGTACAGCATCTCCAAAGATAAGATTAAAAGGGCAGGCAGGAGGAACGCAAGAGCAGTGAGTGGGATCCTCTGCTCCCGGGCTGTGGTCAGCTCCCAGAGGCTCCTGAACATCTCTGGGTGACACTGGGGACTCACAGAAAGGAGGACAGAAATGGAGCTCTAGTTCCCTGTGCACTGCTGACTTAGTGATGCGACTGTGAACAAGACAAGTTCTCTGGGACTCATCCCTAAAGTAAAACAAGAGTGGAAGCCATCTATAGTCAGTCGCTCCCAGTGAAGCACGCCAAGGTCCTATGCCAGCCCCACAATGTTAGCAGCACAACTCCAAACAGTGCTGAAATTCTGTGGTTCCGTCAGTGCACCTGTCTGTAACACCCTCCTCAAATCAAGCCTCTTCTTCCACCAAGAGTGAGCCACCCAGATTTCCCATCCATCAGCAGGAATAGTTCAGGCCTAAGTCTGAAAACCAGCTCTTCACAGGCCACGTCCCCATCCCATGGACGCTGAGATTCAGAGGCTTTGCTGACTTGCTCCTTGCTGGAAATCCTATCCCTGCACCTTTCCAGGCTAGGGGTCCGTGGGCACAACACTCCTTTTCCCACCCCTGATGGTTTCATAATCCTTGTCTGAGCCTCCCACCATGTGATCTGCCTTCTTGAGGTTTGGTATCATAAGCTAGGTAATGATCTAAGAAAACAGGAAGTAAGATTCTGTACCAAGAGCAAATGATATTTCAATTGTAATTTCTATCCAATCTTTAATATTATCATCACTATAATTATAATACCAGCCACAGCGGCAAACCTGTAGTGAGCACAATCTCAGCCAGGCACTGAGCTCAGCACCTCGGCTACATAAAGGCAAGCTGCAGAAGAACAGGCTCTGTTTAAGTACTTTCTTTATACAGTTACGTGCTGCATAACAACATTTGGTCAACAACAGACTGCATATAAAACGGTAGCCTCAAAAGATTATAGTATCGTATTTTTAGTGGACCTTTTCTATGTTTAGATATATTTAGATACTCAAATACTTACCGTTGTGTTACAAGTGCATGCAGTATTCAGTACACTCACATGCTATACACACTTGTAGCCCAGGAGCCAATAGGCTACACCATATAGCTTAGGTGTGCAGCAGGCTATACCATCTAGGTGTGTGTTAAGTACACTCTATGATGTTCACACAATGACAAAATCGCCTAATGACACATTTCTCAGAACATATTCCTATTGTTAAGCAACACATGACTATATTAATGTATTTGATCCTCAAAACCCCATGGCAAAGGTACAATTTTAGCACCATTTTGCAGATTTAGGGTGGCTAAATAATTTGCTTATGGTTTCATAACTAAAAACTAGGGCAGCTGGGAATCAGACCCTGAGGGTCTGCCCTCATCCGTGCTCATAACCACAAGGCAAGATTGCCCCACTCTACTGTGGGGTTTTTTCTATTTTTCTTTTTTTCTTTGGTTTTCTCTCCTGTGTTTTTTGTTTGTTTGGTTGGCTGGTTTGGTTTGGTTTTTAATAAGTACACTAAGCCACTGTCTTTAAGGAATGCCTTCCACCTTCACCTCCTGGGCGCAGCTGACAACCCAGAGGCAGCTACCATAGCTGGGCCCCTGAGCTTGCCGGTCAACTAACAGCAACAGTGACGCGCCTCTGCCTCTCTTCATCCCGCCCACAAGGTTTACACACAGTTTAATCCTACTAGATTCACATTTCACTACTGACAAAGATTTGTATTCTGCAAACGTGAAGAAAAACGTGTAAGTTTACAAATAATTAAATACTACTACAAATCGTCCTAGTACTTTTGAGCTGGTTTTACATCTGAGACATACTAATAATCTGCAGGCAGAGTCCATTTTGTAAATAACCATTGCTACGTACCTTACACGTATTCTTACTTAATTCCTCAAAGAATTTTAGCAGAACAGTAAGCTGTGCTCCCCTCTCCCAAACCACTTGGGTTGATATTTAAGCATACTGGGCTTTGACTTCAGAAATCACTATTCATGAGGCCTATGGTTTCTGTCCACTCATCAGCAATGTTAGGATTAGCTCTGCACAATCTCTCCCTCACTCACACAATCCCCAAGTTGCCAGTCTGGCACCACAGGCTCTAGTTTATTCTCCAGCACACCACTTTGTGTCCTCAGTCTCTCAATTCCAGCAAAAGGGGAAGGAAGGTTTTCAAATGGAACCAAGGAGCTCTCTGCCTAAGGAGGAGGCAGCAGCACCCATTTCTCTGTGGCAAAAACAATGCTACCTCTTACCCAACTAGTTTAATTTTTCCTCTAGACACATAGCTAAACTCCGTTTCCCAGCCTCCCCTGATATTCAGGCTGGGCCAAGTGACTTATTTCTGGCCTGGAAAAAAAATAAAACAAAGCAAATTGATGTTCCCATCCTGCAGAGCCCCTGGAAGTCACATCTGCAGATGGCAGAAACACAGGATGGAAAAAGCGTAGGTCTCCAAATGACCACATGGAGCAGAGCCCGCACCCCCGACCCCAGCCCCATCCCCAAAGACTAGCACTGAACTAAGAAAATAAACCTTTAATGGGCTGAGCCACTTAAATTGTGAGTAGTTTATTAGCCTATCCTAATGAATTCTGCTCTTCCAAAAAATTATCTAACATCTTTATTTAAAAAAATCACCAATAATAAAGCATCGCTTTACAACAAACTAGATTTAAACTGGTAAAAAATATTATGACCAAAAGATGCGCTTGCATCCTGAAAAGTACATGAACCTAGATTCACATGAATAATTCCTAGAGATCCAACTTAAACCACACTTCTATTACATAGCCAATTAACACTCGTTCACCTTCAAAAATACATCTATCTAATAAACAGAGTCTACCAAGGGATATTCTCCAAAAACTCTAAGTTTAAATTCGAGCAAAATAATAATGAACTAATTTTACAGTACACAATTTGCTCTCAGAGTTTGGAGTGCTGAATTACAGAGCTGGAAGGAAATGTAAGTATTTTTTAATCCAACTCCTGCCTGAGAGCCAGCTCAAAACCCTCCCACAAAACACCTGACATCTCTCTGTCCAGGCTCCTTGTTACAATCATAATGAAAACAGCCTAGGAAAACATGGGTTTTTTAACATCAGGATGTCACTGTTAATTTTGTTAAGTACAACGATGGTACTGAATTTACATAAAGGAATGTTCGTTCTTGGCATCAGGGTGGGGTGATATGAGCCATCAATGACGCATGGCTTACATGAAAAATCTGGCAAAACATCAATGGCTGTCAGAGTGGCAGGCATGTAAATTTCTGTTTTAATGTTCCATGTTTGAAAATTTTTATAATGAAAAGGAAAAATGGAGCTATGGGAGGCCTTCACCCGTTTTGTCAAGCCTCAGCTCATCTGGGCTTTAGCTCCCTCTGGGCCCATGATTTCATAACTAAAAACTAGGGCAGCTGGGAACCAAACCCAGAGGGTGTGGCCTCATCTATGCTCATAACTACAAGGCAAGATCTCCCCACTCTACTGCGGGTCTTCTTTTTTTTTTCTATTTTTCTTTCTTTCTGTTCTTTGGTTTTTCTCTCCTGTGTTTTTTGTTTGGTTGGCAGCTCATCGATGTCCACACCTCTTCCCTGTAAGTCTGAAACGATATAATGCCCTTCTCATATCCTGCTCGTCCATTTCGATCTTTTTGGATAATGATTCTGTCTTCCCAGCATCCCCAAATGAGATCAGCACACTCTCAAAGATCTCGGCCAAGTCATTAATAAAAAGCCCTGAACAGAACAGGCCAAAGGAGGTCATCACAAAGTTGCAGGGAGATTCAGACCACAGCAGAGCAGCCTGAGCCAGCCGGAGTCCAGGAGAGCCAGTTGGGGTGACCTGGGAGCCAGAACCAAGGTCAGGCATCAGAGGGGCTGGGCACATGGGGAAGATACAGGCTGCATCCCTGGGGACTGGGGACACCAAGTAGGAGAGACGTGATTCAGGGTGCAGACATGGCTAAGGAGGCTAGTAGCGTAGGTAGGCTAGGAGGTGAGGGCGATGAGAGAATGATGGAGAAGCTGAGGGGTGCAGGGAGTGCTCAGACCAGATGCGAGGTCCATCCAGAGGCCACACTGATTTTCTCATTCACGAGTCAGATGTATGTCATACCCCTGCTGAAAATCCTTGGGACTTCACAGATTTCCAGATATAATCCAGCTCCTCTGCAGGACATACAAGTTTCTTACAATACTGCACACTCACCGTTCCAGGGTCATCTTCAGCCACATTCCCCATACACGCCTCTAACCTGCTCGCAGTTCCCCTGGTCCATGCCTTTGAATGTCTGGAGGCCCAGGCCCTAAAGCCACCCCAACACGGGACTGGCATGCTCCTCAATGTAGTGTGGCTCAGGCAGCACTTCCTCCTCTCTGAACTGCCTGACCCCTGCACCCAGCCCAGACCCCAGCCAGCTGACCTCGGTGCCTCCCTCCTGGTAAAGCAGCGGAGCGACAACACTAAGCACTCGCTCTACTCTAGCAGCACTGCCCTGAACCTCCATCATCATGCTCCTTATCTCTCTCTGCTGCTAGTCTGTGAACACCTAGAGAGCCATCTATCCTCACAACACCCTCCAGCCTCATAGGGCCTAAGCAAATAGGTACTTAAAAAATGTGTGTATTGTGAAAGTAACAAAAGGGGCCATGTAGAGAACAAGGACAGCAATGGCAGACCTGTGAACAAGGGCATCCCAGGGGCAGGTGCCACAACAGCAGTTACTGGGGCATTTTGGGCTTGAAAGCCTTCCCAGTGGCAAGACCCTGGGCTGGTTCTTTGCCTGCTTGCTAGGACGTTCGCAGGGGTGCGGTGCTACCAGGGCAGGGGTGCCTGTCTCTCCCAACGCAGACCTGATCTCCGGAGGCTTCGAGAGCATGGTTCACATCATGTCCAGCTGCCTCTCCCTCATCCCACAGTGAATCCTGTAGCAACCCATCCTGTAACCAAGCCACCCAAAGCTCTGCTGTAGAAAAACACACAGAACACACGGAAGCAAGGGCCAGAAAGACCCTCTGGGTGGGGCAGCACTTAGGCTGGAAACCAGAATGGGCCCTAGAATTGCTCTGAGCAGTGGTGGGATGCCCTGCAGGGTGCCTGGAGTCACAGCCTGGGGGTCAACAGATGGGGCAGGTCTCTGATGATGACGGAATCCCATCATCTCTCTACAGCTACAACTGTGTCTACAATCGTCAAGATATGGACAGCGGCACCGCTTTTTGATATGCCAGTGCCTTGGTGACTCAAGGGTGCTTCTCATTACTCAGAGAAATGCACGCCTTCAGCTTCAATGCACCCAGTGACATTCTGCAATCCCCAGATCCAAACTCTACCATAGGGTCACCACTTTGCAAAAAGGATTATCTTGATACTCATTACATAAAAGAAGAGGTCACTCAATCAAAATTGACAAGCCATCCCGCCCCTGCCGAATCTGTCCTTGCTGTAGTTTAGTGTGCACCAAAATTCAAGATGAAAACTTTCCCAACAAGCTCATTGCTGGGCCCATTCCCAAAACAAACAGAGAAAACCGAGGAAAACACAAACAGGATGTGTGTGTGTCCACTGGGGCAGTGGGGGTGGGGAAAGTGTTACTCCAACAGAAAAAACCCAGTCTGGGGGCTAGAGCTGGCCAGTCCAAAGGAGGGCATCTGACTCCTCCATTCAGTGTTCACTTCCAAGAACACGCCTGTGCACACACACAAGCACATGCCCATGAATGCAAAGAGGAGGGGCTGAACTCCAGCGCACACTTACCTGCGGTTTTATTGCACTCAAAGTTTATGACGCTCATCCGCTGAAACCCTGAGCTGCATTCATCACCTCCAAAATATATCAAGGTGAGGTCTCCATCCGAATATCTAGATTTTTGTGAATACACAGACAAATGTGTTTGGGAGAACCAAGAAAAAAACTTGAATCTTTTTAAATGTCTACATTAAGCCTTTTGCGTAGCATCAACAAATCACTACGGATCTAAAACAGCAAGCTCTCTAGCCAGCTAGGGAAAAATATCTACAGGAAATGAGTTCCAAATGTATGGACTTGACATCCTCTCGCTTCAAAGTAGTAACTGGCTGGAAGAAAGTGCCGAAGGTTTTGCTGTGAGCATGAAGACTTCTCTTGTTCTCACTTTTAGATTTCGTACAAAATAAATAACGCCCAAGAATTAGACAGCCTTCTTAACAGCCGCCATGAACACAGCCGTGCCTGAGGGGCCTTGGACTATACTGATCCTGAACAATTTGAAAGAAGCAAAAATAAAATGTTTAAAATGCAGCTTCTCGGCAGATATTCCATGCTTTTAAAAAGCTCAAAGACCAGTTCTGGGGTTTTTGCAGTTTTCTGTTCCTAATTTTTGAATCGTAACTGCCCCTAACACATTTTCAGAAAACTGCATTTTCATCCTGCTTTTATGAAGGTCAACTACCAAGTTAAGGGTCAAAAGAAATGTGCTGAATGCATTTTTTTAGTTGTTTAAAATTTTCTGTTATGTTGATGGTGCTTCAGATTCTCAAACTGCCAGAGAAAAATCAAAACTCCTTAAAAACGAATTTTAAAATAAAAAACCCTATCAACTGTAAACTCATTAAATACTTTTCCTACAGTAGGTTCCGTACAAACAGCAAGTTTATAAAGTGAACAGTTCTAACAGAAGCATTCTTACTCTAAAGCCAGGAAAAACATTTGATTGTTTAGTGACAAACGGCAACTTGCCGAAGTCTACTAGGAAGGAATGCTGGAGTAACTGATTCTCCCGTACCTTACGGAAAATGGAAAGAGGAAGAAAAGGAGAGGGAGTTATGTTTCACAAGAATACACACAACGCACTTGAAAATTATGCAGGCCAGTCCCAAGGCACACGCCTCTAATCCACGCACTTTGGGAGGCCAATGTGGGAGGATCACCGAGGCAAGGACTTCAAGATCAGCGTGGGCAACATGGCAAAACTCCATGTCTACAAAAACTACAGAAACCAGCTAGGCATGGTGGTGCCTGCCTGTAGTCCCAGCTACTCGGGAGGCTGAGGTGGGAGAATTACTTGAGGCAGGGAAGTCAAGGCTGCAATGCACCGAGATTGCACCACTGCAGTCTAGCCTGGGCGCCAGAGTGCAACCCTATCTCAAGAAATACAAAGAAAAAGGAAAATCGCACAGAGGTTGTTGACGTACCGGAGGGTCTGATTGTGGTATCTTCCTGCTGCTTTGACTTGAGAGGTATCGCTCTTTTTCACTTGGCAAACTGCAGCTTGTTTTTTATTACAGAACTGTATTTCAGTTTCTCCACAGACATTCAAATAAAACAAATATTCTTTTCCATCTGAAATATAGGATGAACCTAAAAACAGGGAAATTAACAAGAAGAGGCTTGTTTTATATGAATAGGTATTAGAAGATTACAGTCTTACTTAGTCAAACCTGAATCCTATTTCTGAAACACCAGCCCAAACTACAGCTCTCTCCAACCCAGAAGCATGCATGGACTGACTTGGCCCCTACTGTCCCGTTCCCTCTCTCGATCCCCTTCTTCCTAAGCAGCGCCAGGAGGCAGAAAGCACCTGCTTACCTCCGCTCTGGGCAAGTGGTGTGAGGTCTATGGAGACATCCTGCTGCTCGCCGCTCAGAGAACAAGTTTTACTTTCCAGGTAATCTCTGTGGCAGGCATACTCAGTAATCCACTCAATTTCATAGCGGCAGTTGGATTTAGCTGTGAGTTTGGGAATGGTGCCCTATCAGGAACAATGTGAAAGAAGCAAAATAAAAAATGTTTCATGCAGCTTAATGCAGATTTTCCACACTTATGAAAAGCTCAAAGACAGGTTGTTAGGTTTCTACATTTTGCTGTTTCTGTTTTTTGAATCATAATTGCCTCTAACACATTAAGATTATTTGACTTATAACAACTCAGTAAAGTTACTTTTAATTTTTTTCTAAACTGTTATTTTTTTTCCATTTGACTCGTAACACCTCCATTTCCTCTTTACACTCTATTCCCTTTCTAGTCTAGTCACCTTCAGAGAGACACTCAAGCTTCGGCCAGCAAGCACCTGGACTCAGTGGCACGTGGCAATCACTAGGACATCGGCAAGCGCTAACAGGCCGTGCAGGGTGCATGGTCCATTCACCGCTTTCCACGAGGTGCTCAACTGGAGTGGTGCAACCCTGACACTGAGTGAACATTATCACATGCGTGCACAACCAGAGACACGGTCCACAACCCCTTTGGGATCCTGGGCACCACCATATCTGTACCCACACCTGCTCCTGGGTGAAGCCAGGGCACCACCCAGACACAAACCCGATTCTGCCATTGTGTTGCTTCTACAGAGCAGGAGCTCCACCATTCGTCTTTGATGTGAGCCATGAAGGGGGCTGATGGGGTCCCTGCTCACCAGGAATGTCACTGCCAGCTTTTTAATCACCCTTAGGAGACACGACTTACTGGGCTTAGCACCGGGCATAGCCGTGCTGCTTCCCAGCACCATTCATTCCGTAAATACTCACTGAGCACCTGCTACACGCCAGGCACTAGGTGCCAGGTTTACAAACAGGTCGCACACAATTAGTAAGTTGCAGAGCTGCAGGCCCAACCCTCTTCTGTTTGACTCATAATCGATGCTTCTGCCCACGTGGCTCAGTGCAGTCTGACACATGGTGATGCAGACCCCAGGGCTCCGTAAGAGAAACCAGGCACAGAAAGCCACACAGTGTAGGATTCTCCTGACATAAAACATCCAAAAAAGGCCAATCCACAGAGACAGGAAGAAGGTGGACAGTTGCCAGGGCTTGGGGTATGAATGGGAAGAGACTGCTAATGGGCAGGAGGTTTCTTTTTGGGGTGATGGAAATGCAAAATTAGATTGTGATGATGGTTGCACAGTTCTAAAAAAAAATACTAATAACCACTGAATTGTACTTAAAAAAAACTGAACTTTACAGTATGTAAACCCAATAAATAAATTAAATAAAGCATTTTTAAAATGATCTATATGACAAGGTGAGTGTTTACTAAATACCAGCTCCTAAAATCATTCAATGAGCAAATGTAAATGCTTAAACAAACCTCCCAAGTATTACAGTGTCCAAGCACATGTCACACAAGGTCTGCCCAGTGAACAGTTAAGCTTGAAAAGAAACCTGGCCGGTGCGGTGGCTCACACCTGTAATCCCAGCACTGTGGGAGGCCGAGGTGGACAGATCACTTGAGCCTGGGAGTTCAAGACCAGCCTGGGCAACATAGCAAAGCCCTGTCTCTACTAAAAATACAAAAATTAGCCAGGCGTGGTGGCACATGCCTGTAGTCCCAGCTACTCAGAAGGCTGAAGTGGGAGGATTGCTTGAAGTGGGAGGATTGCTTGAACTAGGGAGGCGGAGATTGTAGTGAAGTGAGATCGTGGCACTGCACTCCGGCCGGGGCGACAGAGCAAGACACTGTCTTTAAAAAAAAAAAAAAAAAACAGAGGGAACTTCTTGCTCCACTAATAACAAATCAGCCTCTTCTTCTAACACCAAGAAATGCCTCATACCCCTTCGAAGAAAAAGGAGGAAAACTCCCAATTCTCTTGGTTCTCACAGTGTAAAATGATTCTTACCAAATGTAGAACAAATAAAAAGGGAAAACACTAAAACCACTACCGCCTGAGAACATCTCACTGGGCTTAAAAGATTTCAACTCACATCTGTAGGTACAAATGAAAAGTGTGAATAAATATTCCTCCCCATTCACATTCAGAACAAACATCAGACACTCCGGCCTTCATTCAGCTGACAGCACTTGATGTGGAAGTCTGGGGACAGAAAGTGGAAAGCTGAGCCCTGCACTGTCTCCATATCCCACACACACCAGGCCAGCTGCCAGCCTGACGTCAGAGCAAATTCCACATTTGCTTGGGGGAAGGGGAGTGTGGTTCTCTGGCAAAAGAATTCAGCCCCTCCCTACTTCACCCTATTACTAAGAAGGCAGAAAGAAACTAAAGGAAAGCCCTGCCCTACCCCTCCCTCCCTGGGGGACGCCTCCTTTCCATCAGCACCTGCCCCTGGTTAAAACACTTGCAGGCGCTGGGCACTCAAGGACAAGTAAGTCTCAGCAGCCACACTCGAAGAGTTTACAGCTGCGCTGGAGATTTCATCAACAGCAGAGGGCACAGCAATAAACTGGCCTGTGATGAGAAAGAGGGGAGAAGGCATGGATGGGGGTTTAGGGGCAGACTGGGAAGAGAGAGGGAGGGAAAGGCTTCTCATAAGAAATCACAGGCTTGAAATTCTACTTCGTTTTTCCACTATTCACTAAAACAACCCAACTACCAAAAAAAAATCTGTCCGTGAACTACTTAAAATAATCTCACAGAGACTAGAACAAAACACCATCCCATTATATGTGGAGGCCCCTCCGGATTGCTGTAAAAAAGCAAAAGGCAAAATGCAAACAGCTCTCCCTGAGTGAGCTGCATGTGACAGAAGCTATCCCAGGAAGCTTGTCTTCTCCTGAGAACCCACCAGTGCCTCTGTCATGGCTCCCAGCTTCCTGCATCCAGGCCCACCCTGCCCCAAGCCCAGAAACGCGTTCGCATGGGCAACCCAGGCTACTGTGCGCCACATTAGTGATCAGGAGACGAGTCACTTACCTCTCTCCGCTCCGACGGGCAAACAAATGTAATAGTCACCGCAGGGCTGTGACCATCACAAAAGTCTAGCTTTCCTGCCTCTTCCCTCACGTAACTCAGGACAAGCCTGGGAGAGCCACATTGAGAAAAGAGTATTACAAAAGTATAAAGTACATCCAAATTCATATGTTGCCCTGAGCATTCAGCACATTCACTTGGGGGGGAGGAGAGGGTAACAGAAGAAATATTAAAATATAAAAGTAGATATGGTATAAAATGACTTTATTTCCATTTGAAAAAAAAAAAAGTTTTAAGTAAACTCCAGTGAGTGTTATTTTGTTAAAAAATCAAATATCTAAAGTGACCAGCACATAAATTTGATATATTAAGAAAACCTGGCTGGGTGCGATGGCTCACGCCTGTAATCCCAGCATTCTGGGAGACCAAGGTGGTGGATCACCTGAGGTCAGGAGTTCCAGACTACCCTGGCCAACACAGCGAACCTCCATCTCTACTAAAACTACAAAAATTAGCTGGGCATGGTAGTGCGCCTCTAGTCCCAGCTACTGAGGAGGCTGAGGCAGGAGAATCACTTGAACAGGGAGGCGGAGGTTGCAGTGAACCAAAATCACACCACTGCACTCCAGCCTACGTGACACAGCAAGACCCATCTCAAAAACAAAAGCAAAAACAAAAACAAAACCTGTTTGATCTGCTTCATGTCCTAGAATAAGGAAAGAGAAAAGGAACAAAAAAATTATTTTTTTTAAAAAAAGGAAGAAACACCATTTGACTAAAACAAGCAAAAAACGGTTGTAAATGAGATAACAAAATTAAAAAAAAAAAAAGGCAGACAAGCAGGCCAGGTGCATTTTTGCCCACAAGGCTAGTCAATCATTTCCTCTTTATACAACAAATTCTAAGTGCCAGCCAAAAGTTTTGTTTTGTCTTAACCCCACAGCACCTGCCCAGCAGTTACAGCAGTTACTGAACTGGGGTTCTCTTCCACCACCCAAACCACCATCCAACATGGCCCCCACCACCAGGGTTTACTGCACTCAGTGTGGAAAGGGCCCAGTGCCCCTGGCTGCCTGCTAGAGAATAGCTGATCACAGATGACCTGCCTTTTCCCACAAGAGAAGCTCACACTTGCTCAGTGTCCCACATGTTACTAAATCGTCACACAAACTCATTCATATTAAGAATTACCAATGTGTCACTTAAAGACTCTGTTATGGACTGAACTGTTTCCCCTCAAAATTTGTATGTTGAAGGCCTAAGCCATAGCTCAGCATGTGACTATATTTGGAGACAGGGCCTTTAAAGAGGTGAACAAGGAAAAAGGAGATCATGTGAGTGGGCCTTAATCCAAAAAATCACTGGTGTCCTTATCAGAAGAGGAGATTCGGACACAGACCCCCGCAGAGGGAAGGCCACGTGAAGACACAGAAAGAAAACGGCCATCTAACGAGCCAAGGAGAGAGGCCTCAGAACAAACCAGCCCCGGTGACGCCTTCTTCAGACATGCAGCCTTTAGACTGTGTAGGAAATACATTTCTGTGGTTTAAGCTACCCAGCCTATCGTATTTTCTTATGGCAGCCTGAGCAAACTAATACAGACACACACATAGAAAATTCCAAACACTTTTCCCCTCAGGTTACGCTCAAGTTTTTTCTTTGGACAGAGTGCCATTATAATTGCACATGCTCCCTACAACCACCCAGACATGCCACGAGCTCCAGACTAGAGCAAGCACAACAAGGTGTCTACCAAAGGCCTCTGAATGGGGAGAAAATGTGAATCCTTGATCGAAGTTCAGGATATGGTCATGTGCAACACACTAGAGAAATGCGTATGTCTGCCAAGGCAAGATACAAAGGCAGTACAAGAGCATATGTACACGGCACAACACATTATAAGGAACACCATTCCCCACTGGGAACCAAGGTCCCTGTCACATCCCAGTGAAGGTCACCAGCAAACTGTCCCTCCTGTCTCTTGCCCTCCCAAGATGAGAACACAATGGACACAAAATCAATTTCACGGGTGCCACAGAATGAAAAATATCAGATGGCACCTTAAGATAGGCATTATTTCATGAGGCAAATACAGGTATGTACTATGGACTGGATCATGAGATGTATTTTTACTGCTGTAAGAGACAAATGATTAAAAAGTAGACAAGCACACTAGACTATGTGACTCACAGCAATGACCAACAATCTTACAAGTACATGTGAAGCAGCAATGCTGCAGGGACTATCCCAAGCCTTGCTGAAAAAGGATGTTCCTGCAGCTCCCTGAAAGTCAGGTCCTTGCTGGAGATTAAAAACGCCAACAGCATCGGAGGCCTTGACTGACCTGTCCTTGCGCACCAGCTTCAGTCCGTCCCGGGGCTGGCCAACATCAAACGCCTGGTGTCCTCTTACCAGGCAGGCGGCAGTGCCGGGGGGACAGGCCCGCAGCTGTGAACCTGGGTCTCGTAGTGTGTCTGAAAATCATGTATTACATTAAATCAGATTAGGTGTTAGGAGTGATAATCACACGTACCCTTAGACCCAGGGTCCCTTTAAATACATTATTGAATTCCTAAAAGTCTCCCTAAGTAACTATTCTGAAACCTTGGGCAAGCCATTAACCCTCTGCAAACAAAGCTCAGGATGAAGGACTGTAAAGTACTGGCTCTGCACTGGTATATAAGAGGTGCACAGGAAACAGGTTATGATGTTATTTGTAATCAAGAAATGTACCCATCCTCTGCTTGAGGTACAACAACATTAGCACTATCCCCTTTCAAGCTACAGAGACTAGAAAATGCAGGCACTCCACAGATGACTGGAACAATTAGGAGATTAGGGAAAGAACCCACAGCTCTGGGTTCAAATCCTAAATCGACCACTTACTATGTCGATAACGTTGGTCTAACTACAAAACTATCCAATTGCCAGTGTGCTACTGCACAGGTTTGGTGGAGGATTAAAGATGAAAACATACCCAGAATATGTCCAGAACATCCCGCAGGCTTTACAGATTGCCAGTATAGCAACAGCTATGATTACAGCTAGGTTGCTCTTTACCATTCATTTCTATGACCATGACTCAATACCTTACACAGTATACTTTGGGATTTATTTGTTTACTATCTATCTTTTCTCCTATCTAACTAAAGTTCCAGGAAAACAGGAACTGTGGTGAGTTCAGTGCTATAATCCAGTGCCTAGATTAGTGCCTAGCACACAGAAGGGATTCAAACAACCCTTCTCCCACGAATGAGTGAGTGAATAATCTTACCTCCCTTAAGTTTTACCTGCCTTATTAATCAAAGATGGAGAGGGTTATCTACCTTTGCACCAGCTAGTGAAGAGGTAAGCAAACCTTTAACTCTCAAGCCTTCCAAACAATTATGAAATTATGTGGAATTATGAAATTTCACAAATGGACTGCTTTGTTCCACCTATAGTATCTGCTGTGCCATAGGCTCCTTGCCCTCATGGGGACTCAGTGTAAGACAATCCACTTGGTATACCAAAGGCAGAATACACAGCAAGCGCCCTGAGGATGCAAGGAGGTAAGCACATGATGGCAAGTCCGAAACTATCCAAGAGGTTTTGAGGGTCACATTCAATCTTGGTTTGAGACTTAGGGCAATTTCCTGGGAATGGAGAATGTCTGAGTAAAAACTAGGGCACCCCTACTGTGAATCAAAGTCATTCAAGCTCTACTCAAATTGCCAATAAATTGGAAAGAAAAAACTTGTAAGAAAATACTCAGCAAATTCAGATGATCTGTAAAATGTTAAGAGACCAGAAACCTAAATGTTTTCCAAATCAAAATAGCGTATTATTCCAGAATTCAATAATCTACAACTCATCAACTCTATAACCAAACTTGAGTTACAGACCCATTTAAGACAAAGACTGTATTAGTCTTTTTCCAAAAAATCAATAAAGGTTATCCTTGGAGAACAAAAGAAAGATGTAATACTCTAACACACACAAAAAAACCTAGTTATCATTGGTTACTTTTGGTGAGCCCTGAATGGGGTATATTTACTGTTTTTAACTGTTTAGAAATAATACATAAACAAGATAGTACATAATGTATATATATAATTTAAAGAATAATCATAAATTAATACTCATCTACTATCCAGCAATACTTCCATGTATTGAGTTTATTTTTTAAAATTTTCTCCAAACTTTTCTAAGGGCAAAGCATTATGTACTATTTGAGAAATAAAAAACAAAGAAGAACACTAAAAATGACCTTTAGATTAGTTAATCACCAGCAGAATTTACTCATGGCTAGCACTGCAGAAAGACAGTCCTGGCCTACAGGACTAACAATTCATAGCCCTGAGGGGAACATCAAGCTGGGTTTTAGAAACTTGGCTTAGTAAAACCAGCTGAAGGCTAGTCAAAGGCTTAGTAAAACTTTTCATGGCCCTTTTTAGATAAAGACCATTTATTTACGGTCTTTAGTTAATTTATCAAAGATTCTAAAGCTTAAGCTAAAGCTTCTCACACCAGTTTTGGCAAGTACAGAGAAAGGAACAAGTCAGCTTGGGCCAAATATGCATCCCGACCAAGTACCCAAGTCCTTGATCATCCCTTTTTCTTTTTCACCCAGCCCGTAACTCAGAGCCAAGGGATTCAGGCACACACAGAGAACAAGACCGACCCTCACTTCTGTAGAATCCCGAAACCCAAGGTGTCTGGCCGAGAGAACACCCACATGGAATGGATCAACAGTTAGGATGGAATCTACAGGGGTTGGGGAGGAGGCATGGAATCTACTGGGGGAGAAGAGGTGGGTTGTGCAAATAGAACATTTTTGGGGACAAAAGCTTTATTAGAGGGCCTAATCAGAAACATGGATGTGAAAACAGAAATAAAGGTAGAAAGGCAAAGATATTGAAGCCATAGAAGAAATCCCTCACCACCACCCCCTCAGCCCCACAAAGATTCATACCTATGTCTCTACAAACATTGATGAATAGAGAAGTGTCCGGATCGGAGTCATCCACCAAGTAGGCACCACTAAGCTTGATCAGAGGATTGAGATCATGCTTCCTCAACTCTTCATCAAACACATAGCATGGCACCTGGAAGGGAGGAAGAAAAAAGTGAGTCTTCAGTATACATCTTGGTCAATCAGAAAAGCTTATGACCAATGTCACACAACACTGCTCTCCATTCCTTAGGGACTATCATGCTATGGTGTCCCCTAATAACGAACTCAGGCAAAGGTCAATAAACGTCTTGGCTCCTCTGCGTTCTTTTCGGTATCTCTTCTCTCTTACATGAGGACTGTTGTGCAATCATCTCCTCTCACTTTACATCACCAGGTTTTCCCTCTCCACTGGATCGTTTCCGTCAGCATGCCATGAGATCTACCACCTCACAAACGTCCTTCCTGGTCCCTACATTCCCCTAGCTATCATCTCATGTCTCTGCAACTTAGAGCAAAATTTCTTCAATTGTCCCTACACGTCTTCTCCTCTTCCTGCCTTCCATTCTCTCTTGAACACAGTCCCATCAGCTTGCTGCCTCCCACTCCAGCAAAACCCCGCTTACCAGCTCACCCACAACATCTCTGCTGACACATCCAGTGCTCGTGTCCTAGCCTTCCCGTTACATGGTCTCTTGTGGCACTGGATGCTACTGATCATTCTCCACCTCATGAAACCCCTTCTCCTGTGGCTTGCATCCACAGGCTCCTGGTTTTCTTCTGCCCCACTTCCAGCTCTTTTTCAGCCTCCTGGAAACACTTCTCACCTTCCCTCTAACTGACTCTCAATCCAGAGGTGTGCCACAGCTTACTGAGCAGCCCTCTTTCCTGTCTACACCCAATCCCTTGGTGACCTCGTGCATGGTTATAAATGTCTGCCAAAGACTCCCAAATTCATGTCTCTAGCCTTGACCTTTCCACAGAACTGCAGGCTTACACAGCCAACAATAGCAGAAGCTACGTTTATAAGCACAGACTCGAAGCAGAACACTTGGGGTTCAACCTCTGGCATGAACACTTTGCATGACCATGAATGAAGTTAACCTCCATGCCTCAGCTTCCCCACGTGCCATACTGGAATAATGACAGTTATTCCTTCATGGGGCTGCTGTAAGGCCTGAGTGAACTAATGTATGTGAAGCTTGGGGTACAGCTCCTGGCAGGTTGGCATAAGTGTTATTTATTGCTGTTGTTTATCATCATCACTTGGATACACAAAACCATCTCAAATTTCATGTATTTAAATTTAAAATGAGCCTTTGATTTCTCCCCCAAAACCTACTGTTACCCCAGTGTTCCTCATCTCAACAAATGGCACCATCATTCAACCAGTTGCTTGAGCCAAAACCTTAAGGTCCCCCTGCCCCACCGCCAAGTTCTCTCACGTCTACATCCAACCATCGGCAAGTCCTGCCAGCTCTCCCTTCAGACTAAACCCTGGATCCACTCCCTACTTATCACCTCCACCATCGCCACCCTGTCCAAGCCACCATAATCTCTTGCCTGCAATAGTATCTTAACTGGCCCCCCAATTCCAGCTTCAGTGCCCTACTACCTCAGCCCATGTCTCCACAAGCACAGGATTAGCACTTCAGAATTAAATCAGGCCACACCTCTCCCTGTTCAAAGCAGCTTCCCATTACACTGAGAAGGAAATTCCAACTCCTTCATGACACCGCCCTAACCTACCACTCTCCTCACTCAACGCAGCCACACTCACCTCTTGATGCAATTCTACCCTCCTGAAACTCAAAAGTCCTCTCTACCTGAGATGTGCTTACCCAAATATACACATGGCTCTTTCCCTCACTTCATTCAGGTCTCTGATGAAACATCGCCCTTAGTAAGGCCTCTTCTGACACCTTTACCTAAAACAGCACTCTCTACCTCTCTCTGTCTCCCATACTCAGCCTCACTTTTGTTCACAGCACTGTGATGTATGATACTAGGTACTGCCATCTGTTGACTTTTGTCATTTTCCCCCCACTATAATAGGGGCTCCTTGAGGTCAAGGGTTTGTCACTGCAGGCTAAAGATGATGCCTACAACATAGTGGGAGCTCAGTAAATATTTGTTCTATATTTGTTCCATAAACTGTGAAGATGAGTTCCTCCTGTGGGTATTTCAATCCATCCTTACTTGGTTTTAATTTATGACAGTCTCTCATACCTATGAACTAATGGTCTTTTTATTTTAAAAAACATCAAGAAACCCCACTGTTAGAGTTGGCAAGACCCTGAGCTTTAAGGGGGTGCCTCTTTGTTTGTTTTATTTAGATTTAGGAGGACCGAGTGCAGTTGTATTACATGGATATTGCACAGTGGTGAGGTCTGTGCTTTTAGTGTAACCAGCACTGGAATACTGTACATTGTACCCATTAGGAAATTTCTCATTTCTCAACCCTCACTGCCCTCCCACCCTCTCACCTTTCTGAAGCTCCAATATTTATTATTCCAGTCTCTATGTCCATGTGTATGTATTATTTAGTTCCCACTTATAAGTGAGAATATGTGGTGTCTGACTAAGTTATTTCACTCAAGATAATGGCCTCAAGTTCCACCAATATTACTCCAAAACATAGGATTTCATTCTGCCTTACGGCTGAGTGGTATTCCATGATAGACGTGTGTGTGTGTGTGTGTGTGTGTGTGTTCTTTACCTAGTCATCCGTTGGTGGGCACTTAACGTTTATTCCGTATCTTTGCTACTGTGAATAGTGCCACAATAAACAGACGAGTGCACGTATCTCTTTGACAGACAGATTTCTTTTACTTTGTGTAGATACCCAGTAGTGAGATTGCTGGGTCAAATGGTAGTTCTATTTTTAGTTCTTTGATTAATTTCCATACTATTTTCCATAAAGGTCATTCTAATTTACATTCCCACCAATGGTGTATAAGTGTTCTCTTTTTTTTCTGCAACTCTGCCAACATCTGTTGTTTTTTGACTTTTTAATAATTGCCATTTTTGACTGGTATAAGATGGTATCTCATTGTGGGGTTTTTTTTTATTACGTTCCATATATGCAGTTTATTTTTTTTTTCCTAAACTTTTTTTTTTAATTTTATTATTATTACACTTTAAGTTTTAGGGTACATGTGCACAACGTGCAGGTTTGTTACATATGTATACATGTGCCATGTTGGTGTGCTGAACCCATTAACTCGTCATTTAGCATTAGGTATATCTCCTAATGCTATCCCTCCCCCCGCCCCCCACCCCACAACAGTCCCAGGTGTGTGATGTTCCCCTTCCTGTGTCCATGTGTTCTCATTGTTCAATTCCCACCTATGAGTGAGAACATACGATGTTTGGTTTTTTATCCTTGCGACAGTTTGCTGAGAATGATGGTTTCCAGTTTCATTCATGTCCCTACAAAGGACATGAACTCATCATTTTTATGGCTGCATAGTATTCCATGTGGTTTTATAATAATTTGTATATTTCTCTGATGATTAGTGATGTGGAGTATGTTTAGGAGATTCTTGGCCATTTGTATGTCTTCTTTAGAGAAATGTTTGTTCACGTCCTTTGCTCACTTCTTAAAGGGATTGTGGTTTTTCTTGTTGAGTTGTCTGCATTCTTTGTAGATTCTGAATATCAATCCTTTGTTGAATGTAGAGTTTAAAAACACTTTTGGCCATTTTGTATGTTGTCTGTTCACTCTGCTGACTATGTATTTTGCTGTGCAGAAGTTTTTAAGTTTAATAAAGTCCCATTTCTCTATTTTTATTTTTGTTGCATTTGCTTTTGAAGTCTTAGTCATGAATTCTTTGCCTAGGCGAAGATCCGAGAGAGCTTTTCCTGGGTTTTCTTCTGGGAATTTTATAGTTTCAGGCAGGCCTTACATTCAAGTCGCTAATCCGACCTGAGTTAATTTTTATATGTGGTAAGAGATAGGGGTCCAGTTTCATTCTTCCGCATATGGCTGTCCAGTTTTCCCAGAACCATTTACTAAATAGGGTGTCCTTTCCCCAGTGTATGTTTTTGTCAACTGTGTCAAAGATCAGTTGGTTGTAAGTATGCAGCTTTGACTCTGGGTTTTCTATTCTGTTCCATTAATCTGTGTGTCTATTTTTCTATCAGTACTAGCTGTTTTGATTACTATAGCCCTCCAGTAAA
Organism: Homo sapiens; assembly: GCF_000001405.40. Classification (NCBI taxonomy): domain Eukaryota; kingdom Metazoa; phylum Chordata; class Mammalia; order Primates; family Hominidae; genus Homo; species Homo sapiens. The sequence goes on along the minus strand of NC_000006.12, from coordinate 160,020,543 downwards.
ATCTGTAGGTGGGTATTGTGATGCCTCTAGCTTTGTTCATTTTCCTTAAGATTGGTTTGGCTATTAAGATTTTTTGGGGGACCACATGAATTTTAGGACTTTTTCTAATTCCATAAAAAATGACGTTGGCATTTTGATAGGAATTGCATTGAATCTGTGGATTGTTTCGGGCAATATAATCATTTTAATGATATTGATTCTTCCAATTCATGAACATGGGATGTTTTCCCACTTCTGCTATCTACAATTTCTTTCATCAGTGTTTTACAGTTTTCCTTGTAGAGATTTTTCACCTCCTTGGCTAAATGTATTTCTAGTGGGTTTTTTTTTTTTAGTGATTATAAATGGGATTGACTTCTTGATTTGATTCTCAGCTTGATCATTACTGGTGTGTAGAAATGTTATTGATTCTTGTACAATGACTCTGTATCCTGAAACTACTGAATTCACGTATCAAATCTAAGAGACTTTTGGAGGAAACTTTAGAGTTTTCTAGGTATAAGATCATATCATCAGCACACAGAGACACGTTGACTGTCTCTTTTCTGATCTGGATGCGTTTTCTTTCTCTTGCCTGACTGCCCCAGGTAGGACTTCCAGTACTATGTTGAATAGGAGAGATGAAAAAGTGGGCATCATTGTCTTGTTCCACTTCTTAGGGGAAATGCTTTCAACTTTTCCCTGTTCAGTACGATGCTGGCTGTGGTTCTGTCGTATATGCCTTTTATTATTCTGAGGTATGTCCCTTCTAATATTTTTTGAGTGTTGTCTTTTCATTAAGGGATGTTGAATTTCATCAAATGCTTTTTCTGTATCTCCTGAGATGGTCAGACTTTTTTTTAAATTGTTTAAATGGTGAATCACATTTATTGATTTGCATACACTGAACCATCCTTGCAACCCTGGAATAAAACCCACTTGATCGTGATGTATTATTTTTCTGAAGTGCTGTTACATTCAGTTTGCTAGTATTTTGTTGAGATTTTTGAATCTGTTTATCATAGATATTGGCCTCTAGTTTTCTTTCTTTGTTGTGTGCTTGTTTGGCTTTGGTTATCAGGATAATATTGGCTTCAAATAATGAGTTAGGGAGGATTCCCTCCTCTGATTTTTGGTAACAGTTTCAGTAGGATTTGTGCTAGTTCTTCCCTGTGCCTCTGGGAGAATTCAGCTGTCAATCTGTCTGGTCCTGAGCTTTTTTTGTTGGGAGGTTTTTGTTTTGTTTTGTTTTGTTTGTTTTGTTTTTCTTAAATTACTGATTCAATCCCAATACTTGTTATTGGTCTTTTTGGAATTTCTATTTCTTCCTGGTTGAATCTCAGGAACTTGAATGTTTCCAGAAATGTACACATTTCCTCTAAATTTTCTCAGTTGTGAGTACACAGATGTTCACAGAAGTCTCTTATGATCTTTTTTGTGGTATCAGCTGTAATGTCTACTTTCTTATTTCTGATTGAATCCTCTCTCTTCTGGTTAATCTGACCAACAGTCTATGAATATTATCTTTCCAAAGAACCAACTTCTCATTTTTTTTATCCTTTGTACTGCATTTTTTGGTCTCCATTTCATTTAGTTCTGCTCTGGTATTTGTTACTTCTGTTCTGCTAGGTTTCAATTTGGTTTTTTCTTTTTTTTCTAGTTCCTTGAAGTGTGATATTAGGTTGTTAATTTGTGATCTCTATTTTTGATGTAGGCATTTAACACTATAAACTTCCCACTTAGCCCTGCTTTTGCTGTATCCCGCAGGTTTTATGCTGTGTATCCACTTTCATTTGTTTCAATTTTTTTTTAATTTCCATCTTAACTACATTGTTGACTCAAAATTCATTCAGAAGCAGGCTATTTAATTTCCAATTATTTGTATAGTTATGAGAGTTTCTCTGTGAATTGATTTCTAGTTTCATTCCACTGTGGTCTGAGAAGATACTTGGTATCATTTTGGTTTTTTTCAATTTATTGAGACTTGTTTTTTGGTATGACATATAGTCCATCTCGAAAAACGTTCCATGCACTGATGAGAAGAATATATGTTCTGCGGCTGTGGGGAGAATGTTCTATAAATATCTGTTAGGTCTACGTGGTCCTGAATCCAATTTATGTGCCGTGTTTGTTGATTTTCTTTCTCAGTGATTGAATTCTATTATTGCATTGCTGTCCATTTCTTTTCTGAAGTCTACCAGCAGTTGTTTTATGAATCTTGTGCTCTAGAGTTGCATGCATACATATTTAAGATTGTTACATCTTGTTGAATAATCTTTTTATCATATAATGACCATCTTTTTCCTTTTTTTTTACTGTTGTTGATTTAAAGTCAGTTTTATCTAAGTATAGGTGGGTCTTCCTGCTTGCTTTTGATTTCCATTTGCCTGGAATATCTTTTTCCATCCCTTTAGCTTCAGTGTATGTCTTTACCAATTAGTTCTGGCTTTCTTGTAAGCAGCATATGGGTGGATTCTGTCTTTTATTTTTTAAATCCATTCTCCCAATCTGTATCTTTTATGTGGAGCATTTAATCCATGCACATTCAAAGTTAATATTAATATGTGAGGTTTTATTCCTGTCATAATGCTAACTGTTTCCTAGTTGCTTTGTGGTCTTGTTTGAATAATTGTTTTATAAGAGTGTTTATACTTTTGTGTGTTTTTATGATAGCAAGTATCAAACTTTTGTTTCCCTGTATAGACCTCCTTTGGGCATTAATTGTATGGTCCATCTAGTACTGACAAATTCCCTCAGCATTTGCATGTCTGAGAAAGACTTTATTTTTCCTTCATACATGAAACTTATTCTGGCAGGATACAAAATTCAGGGTTGACAGATTTTTTTTCCTTAAGCACCTTGAAAAGAGAAACCCAATCTCTCTGGCTCTTAAGTTTCTCCTGAGAAGTCCCCTATTAGTTTGATGGGATTTTCTTTATAGGTGATTAGATACTTTTCTCGTGGATAGGATTTTTTCCTTCATGTTGACCTCATACAGTCTCATGGCTATATGTTGTGGTGAAGTCCTCCTTGCAACATATTTCCTTAGAATTTTTTGAGCTTCCTATATTTGGAGGTCTAGATCTCCTGCTAAACTAAAGAAGTTTACATCAATTATGTCCTCAAATACATTTTCCAGATTTTGTTTGTTCTTCTCCCTTAGTAATATCTATGCTTTATAGGTTTGGATGTTTCATGTAGTCCCACGTTTCTCAAACACTTCGTTCATTTCCTTTGAATCTTTGTTTTTGCCTGATTGGATTAATCCAAAAGACCTGTCTTCAAGTTCTGAGATTCTTCCTTCTGCTTCGTCTAGTCTATGGTTGAAACTTTCAACTCAATTTTATAATTCCTATAATAAATTTTTCATTTCTAGAAATTCTACTTGATTTTTTTAAAACATCTCTTTGGTAAATTTCTCATTTATATCCTGGATTGATATTCTGATCTCTTTGTATTGGTTTTCAACTTTCTCATGTATCTCATTAAGCTTCTTTAAAATTAATATTTTGAATTCTTTAACTAGTATTTCAAGCATTTCACTTTGGTTAGGATCTGTTTCTGGAAGATTAATATGATCCTTCAGGGTGCTATAACACCCTGCTTTTTCATATTTCCAGAATTGTTACCCTGCTTCCTTCTCATCTAGAGAAACTGTCACTTTTTGGTTTGAATTTACTTTTGCTTTGACTAGAGGGTTCCCCCCGCCCTGAGAATGTGACTATAATGTATGTTGCATAGTTTTATTTGGCTTTGCTTCTGGACGCTTTCAGCGTCAAAGACTGTATGAATTCCTTGGTTATAGATAGGCTTTGTGTGGTGACTTTCTCAAACATCAGTTGTAGTAGTAATATACCAGGCTGGTGAGCAGGCTCAGGGCCTTCTGAGTAGCCAGGGTGTGGTGAGGGATGATGGTAACTGAGGTCATGGAAAGCTTGTCTCCTGCCGTAGCACTGTGCAATTGTGCACTTGTCTCAGCAGATGGGCTACGCAAGTTCATCTCCTGGCCAGGAAGTGGTACTTGCAGGAAAGAGGCAGCTGCAGTGGTGGCAACAGGATTTATGCTTGGCTTTTGTTAACGAGGAGGCTACTCCCATGTCCCAGACAATGGGTGGGGCCATGGGACACCTAAGCATCACTGTCTTGTGTTCTGCCAGCAAGGCAGATTGAGGAAGGAAAGCTGGGTGGAGCTGGGTCAGGCAAGCACATATTCAGGCTCTCCAACAGCTGAGACAAGCACTGGCCCCAACGGTGATCAGCGGGCCTCCAGGGCAACATTCTGGGGAGGGACAGAGGCGCCTCTACCACATCAAAGAGCCCACATGGTAAAAAGAGGTGCAGCCTGAGCTCCACAGCATAGCAGGCAATAGCAGGACCCACCAAGTTCTAATGCCCTTAACTCAGTGAGTCTCCCACCTGTGGCCCATCGCTGGCAGCAGGCCAAAAAAGCCAGCCCAGTCCCAAGCAGTCTGTATTAGGTTGTTTTTGCACTGCTATAAATACCTGAGACTGGGTAATTTATAAAGAAAAGAAGTTTAACTGGCTCACAGTTCTGCAGGTTGTACAGGAAGCATAGCTCGGCTTCTGGGGAGGCCTCAAAAAGCTTTCACTCACGGCAGAAGGTGAAGTGGGAGCAAGCATATCTCACAGCAAAAGCAGGAGCAAGACGGTGAGAGTGAAACAACCAGAAACTTTGAAACAACCAGATCTCATGAGAATTCACTCACTGTCATGAGGACAGCACCAAGGGGATGGTGCTAGACCATTCATGAGGGACCCCCATGATTTAATCACCTTCCACCAGGCCCCACCTCCAGCATTAGGGATTCAAATTCAATGTGAGATTTGGGGAGGGACAAAATCCAAACTATATCAGGGTCTGTGCTCAGATGGTGAAACTGCCCCAGGCTGCAAGACTCCCTGCCCAGGACAGAAACCATGGCTCTGAGGCCACATCTTTGCAGTACAGTTTCATGAAGTAGGGGCACCCGCATCTTTGCGGTACAGTTTCATGAAGTAGGAGCACCCACATCTTTGCGGTACAGTTTCATGAAGTAGGGGCACCCACATCTTTGCGGTACAGTTTCATGAAGTAGGGGCACCCAACTTCCGCATCACAGCAAGAACTCAAGCCCAGAAAGGAATCCCCCCCAGAGTAAAAAAGGCCCTGGTCACCAAGTGAACCATGACTATGTGAAACATTCCTGTAAGTTTTATTTCCAAAATAATACACTGGCATCATTTTAATTACCTCTTCCAAAGAATATTCTAAAACTTCATGTTCTCTGAAATCATTTCAAAGTAGATAGTTTTATTATTTTCTGTGGATAAGTTTCCCAAAATTTTATCTTTTAGACTGAAGCAATTCACAGACAGGTCTATTTACAAAAGTTAACTGCTTAATATTTAGCTTTCAAATTTCTCTTAGAAATAGGCTATCAAATCTGCAGGAATGCTCTAACCCACTAACCTTTTTCCCCAGTCCTGCTGTCAGAGATTCATGGAGAGCTAATAGAGTGAATCAAACGACCTACACCTACTCACAGCCTCAAAGGCACTTGAACTCATTTTGACCATATCCTCAAAGCAAAGTTGCCTGTCGCCTAAAATACTTCTCAGACACCTAAGTGTTTCTACTAATAATGGAGGAAGTTAGAACCTCTAGTGCTCAGAGGGTACCAGCACATGGAGCTTAAGCCTACCACCAGATTCATGCAGAAAGGCAACTAAAAGAAAATTATTGCCACAGACTATAATTGGGTTACAGTAAAAAGCCACAAGTGCCCATTATCCTGCAAATCTAAAGCTTGTCATCCCACAGCAAGATCATATGAAAACATTAACCCAAGAGGGGAGTGAGTCAGTGGACTGGGTAGGATGCAAGACAAGATGCAATTCTCTAACCAGCAAAATAAAAGCCTATGATGGAAAAGGGAGCAAGATGGCATATGGCAAGAAGGGAAAATGAAAGAACTCTTCATTCTGAAAACAGCTGCATTTCACCAAGACACTTAGAGGATTCCACATAGGCAAGATCTGCAAGCACCCTGCTCGGGGCAGGTAGCAACTACTGGCTGTCTCCCTACTCCAGGAGGGAAGAGAAGACATGCCTCACACAGCACTCCACAGAACTGGAGTGTGCATTGGTAAACAGTCAAGGCTACTGGGGAACACCCTCCCACTTCCTGCTACAGCAAACACAGCAATGGAGACATTCATAAGACCACGAATTTAGCAGCCTGGGGAGCGAGGTTGTTTGCCAGCTGCAACACACCACGCATTGAGTTAATGCTGTTTTATATATAATAATCTTACTTTTATAACCCTGGTAAGACTGCTAGCAGGCCAGTTCTGAATTTTGCCTGTTCCCAAGGGCACTACAGTAGGAGGTATATTTACACAATGCTTTAAAGAAATAATTACCTTAAAGCCTCTACCAGAATCCACTGAACAAAGTATAACAATAGTTTTAAAGGGCTGTTTGTAACTACCATGATTTTTGCCCATCAAAATCATTCTAAATGTGACAGAGCAAAATGAATAAATAAATGAGACATTAGTAAGATGTAGAAAGCAAGACTACAATGACACTAAACCAAATTGAGATTTTTTTTCTTTAGGGAATGATGAGGTTTTTATAAGTACATAAACCTTCAATATGTTTTAAACTTATCATACCAAGCCTGTAAGGTGTAATCAAATCAAACTGAAAGCAGAAAAAAGGGCATACGCTTTATTAAGATTTGCTAACAGTGACAGCACTACATTTTTAGCAGTCATTATGCTTTTCAGTTCTTTCCATTTAATCTATCCATAAGACAAAAAAAAATGAGTTAATGAATATGGATATGTCCTTCACACCATTAGTCTATAGGCTCCCTGAAAGCATTCCAAAATTTAACAAAATTCCTACTGCTTAGCTCACAATAGGCTCTCAATAAATGAAAACTCAATGAATAAAGCCCCAGCTGCCAATTACACCTGAAGAGGTAAGAGAGTACAAAGTACAAATGTTTCTCATGCATCTTCAATCTGCTTCTAAGAGAAATTAAATGTCATTGTTTTGAGAAAAACACAGACTATACCTCCCCATTCCCACCCCAAAAACTATTTAGAACACAGATCAGCACCTTTTTTTTTTTTTTTTTTTTTTTACAAAGAACCATGTGGTATCTACATTTTGGGTTTTGCAGGTCACATAGGTCTCTGTGGCATATTCCTCTTTGTTTTGTAACAATCCTGTAAAAATGTGAAAACCATTCTTAGTCCTGGGGTTGTACAAAAACAGGCCAGGGCAGGCTTTGAACCATGGGCTGTAGTTGGTGATTTCTGACCCATTGAAAACAAGTTGCTATTCATTTTATTTTGGAAAGCAATTTTTTCCTAGGTGGTAGAAGACACAACTGTCAATTCAGCAACGTGACATAAGAGGTACACTCAGATAAAACAAAAACAAAACAAAACAAAAAGGGTATCATGATCAGGTTGGAAAATCAGAGCCCAGGAGAGTATCTGTGGGACTGAGAGGTCTGGGGTCTAACAGGAGAGCAGAGGGCACCACTGTCACCGCAGCCTCCACCTCCCACAGGAAGCAACTCAGATCCGGCCAACTGGACACTTGAGGATGACTGTGTGTGGGGCCAGGCGCAGGGGCTCACTCCTGTAATCCCAGCACTTTGGGAGGCCGAGGCAGGCGGATCACCTGAGGTCAGGAGTTCAAGGCCAGCCTGGCCAACATAGAGAAACCCCGTCTCTACAAAACAAACAAATAAACAAACAAACAAACAAAAAAAAAAAAAAATATATATATATATATATAAATTAGCCGGGCATGGTGGCTCATGCCTGTAATCCCAGGATGACTGTGTGTCCCCACTCAAATCTTGTGTCAAATTGTAATCCTCAACATTGGAGGCGGGGCCTGGGGAGGTGACTGGATCATGAGGGCAGATTCCATCACCCCCTTCTTGCTATTATCATGATAGTGAGTGAGTTCTTGTGAGATCTGGTCATTTCAAAGTGGGCGGCACCTCCCCCTCCCACTCTCTTCCTCAGGCTCTGGCCACGTGAGGTGCTCGATACTCTGTTGCCTTCTGCCATGACTGTAAGTTTCCTGAGGCTTCTCCAGATGCAGATGCTGCCATTCTTCCTTTACAACCTGCGGAACTGTGAGCTAATTATACCTCTTTTCTTTATAAATTACCCAGTCTCAGGTGTTTCTTTATAGCACTGCGAGAATGAACACACTGTGCTCCCACCCTCACCCCCAAACCCCAAACAGATGTCTGCTTTGAGATGCTTTTCCCACCGCTAACAGTATGTCATCTAACAGCTTCACCTAAGTTTTTAAATGAAGCTTACATTTGACACTGTCTCCTAAATATCAGCCTTAATTCTTTCCACTTTAAACTTTTTTTTTTTCATTGAATGCTCCTTATGGCTTTCCTGGGCAGTATTTTACCACTTCCACTTCCATATGACACTGTCTTTCCCTTCATAGATGACCATATCTGAAAATATCAGTGATTTATTGTTCATAATTTAATCTGAATTAATGTTTTTAAATAAACATTTCTTTTTGTCTTATTAAACTGCATGGTATTAGGCCACTAGTAAAAATTACTGATTATGACCATTCATTAGTTCCTGAATCCTTACAACCTTTGAAAGTTCTTAAAAACAGAAAGTAGGAGAGAAAAGTGAGATAATCAATTAATTAAGATTGTTATCAAGGTGAGAACAGGAAATTCCCTTTAGGATCTGGGGTGGTGGGCATGGAGAAGCGGCAGAAGGAACACAGTCTGCTCTTCCCCAGGACCAGGGAGAATCAAGTAGCAGTGCAACATGAGGGAATCCAGGCTGGGGAAGGGGACATTCCATTAGTCAACAAGAATGACCTGCCCAAGAGATCCATTAAACACCACCACAACCACAGTTAATAACAATGTAATTTATTCTTGCGTATCACTAAGAGAGTAGATTTTAAGAGTCCTCACAAAAAAAAAAAAAAAAACGAAATATGTGAGGTAACACATATGTAATTAGCTCAATGTAGCCATTCCTCAATGTATACATATTTCAAAATATCATGTTGCACATAATACATATAGGTCAGTGTGTATGTATATAGATATATATACATACATGCACCCAAGAAGAATGTCTTGACCAAGGAATGCTGGGTTCAAATAATAAGGGGTGGACGTAATAGTAACAGTAACCTAGTAATCTAGTCTCTGAGGTGAGCTGGAAAAGAATTTAAGGGATACCTGACCTGGACTCACATTGCAGCCAGAAGTCATCCCAAGGCTGAGGAGAGGGACAGAGAGATTTAACAATGCAAACAGGTAAAGGAGACTTATCAAAAGCGGGGTACAACACAGGTGGAAAGCCAGGTGCAAAGGAAGATGAAGCAGGCAGCGTCAGAAACAGATGGCTCCTGCAGGTAGAGTGAATACTCTAAGCCCAAGCCCAAACACGTCACTTAGTTTACTGAGTTGCACAGCACCAGAAACCAAGAACTAACTTGCCCTATATGGATGAGCCATTCTATTTCCAATCTGGACCAAAAATCACATCCTGTGATATTTTAAATGCCCTGTCCTAAAAATAAGAACCACTCAGAAAAGTTTTAAAAATTAAATCACATGGTATCTCTGCTCAAATGCAATTTGGAAGCTAAAAAAGATTTTCACCCGGAAAGGTTAGAATCAGTATTTGAAAGATAAAGTTCCCCAGAGTATACTTCATAAGCATGTAATTTGAAGTTCCCATGTTACCTCCTTATTTGCTTTAAATATGTCTTTCTTGCAGGCTGCAGTGGTCCTCCACTCAAAGTAGTGCACACATTCTGTTGCAGTTACAAATTCAGGAGTTCCCTATTAAAAAAAAATAGTAATTATAATGTTACCATACCACACATTGTAAAGATTCTTCTTTAAAATGAGAATGCAGTAAAGGCTACTAAAATAAAGAAAGCAGCAGCAAGAAGGGCAGGGGATGCAACCGCTTTAGTTAAACGGGGTCATCAAGAGGTTCCCAAATCTGCAAATTCTGAGACCAAAGCTTCATAAAATCATGTTGGGATTTTGTGTAACTAATCCAAAGGAATTCTACCGCCCCAGCTGTGCAAGTACATTGAGTGAGTTCATGGGAAGAAATCCTCAGTCATTCTCCTCTCAAACTCCAAATGTTCTCTTAAGCAAATGCCAGCAAACGAAAGCCAGAAAACGTGACCTCATGCTTCCCGTGAAAAGGCTCCCATGAGGAGCCCATCTGCATCTGACCAAGTTAGTACACCCACCAGACGCCAACCCTCCAAGGCAGCCCCTCCTGTTAACCGCAACCAGAGTGGACTACAAACAGGTCAACCCCAGCATCGCAGGATGACACAAGCACAGCAGGAACTGGCCTCTTCACTCCCACGTGCAAGTCTAGGGAGTTATCCTTCACAGTTCTATTTCTGGTATGGTGAACACAGAATTCATAAAGGAAATTAGCTGAAGTTAAAACAGGAGCTATATATTTTATTCTGTAATATAAATCTCATTTAATGCTGCTGCGAACAGATTCTTTTTTGGGTCTCAATATGCACAACGATGCAATTTATATGCGGATCCAAAATTAACAATATTAGTTTTATTTTCAAAGTTCTTCAGATAAGACACTGTGGACCTGAAGATGCAATAGTCACAGTCCCAAATTCTAAAATGATATTTTAAAGCAATTTAGTAGCCACAGAGTTTCACTCAACCTGACTTTCCTAAAGATTGGGTTCTTACTGGGATTCAAGAACATTCATAGAATTTGTATACCAATTCCTTCTCCCAAGAGCTAAAACAATTATTTACTGCAAGTTCCTTTCCAAAAACTAAAGATTAAAATCAACAAATTACATACAATATGCCCATAATAAGAACAATCATAATAATTTACACAATTATGTCCCCTTTAAACACCAGGTAATATCCAAAAAACTTGAGAACCCCATACCCACGGGCCAAGGCTTCTCCTAAATAGATGTGGGTATCTCTAATTTAATATAAATGAGGAAAGAAAAATATTTTTTAAAAAACTAAATATGCTGCCCTAAAACCTATCAAAATGAAATGCTAGAAGAAGAGGTTTTAGAGAAAAAAAAAGTATGCCTATAACTTAAACATTAAACAGTGCACTGATTTTTAACACAGTAATCACTTTGAATTGTAGTTTTACAAAAGACATGGTCTATGTTTTACTTAAAAGTTGTAACAAGTTTAGAATTTGTTTACTTATTGGTTCTTGATGATGATGGTCATTTGGTAGGGTTTTTCTTATTTGTGTTTCTAAGTTTGCTCACTGATTCTTCCTGGAATACCTCTACAGCCAGAACACCAAGGGGCAGACCTTTTTTTTTTTAAAGAAATACATCAAGTGCCTGTGTGGACTCACCAGGGTTTTCCCACACAGGAAGGCAATGCTGCTCTGGACTCTGTGATTTGTGCCTTGCTGGTCACAGCTCACTGTTGTGTTGAATTCCAGGAGAGATCTGGTTGCACTTCTCAAAACAGAGTCACCTATTTGGAGAGAAAAGAGAGTGAACAGGCTATAAAACATACATAACCAAACAGCTATTTCCAAGGAAAAGCAAATTAAAAGTAGCATTATAATGTATCTGATAGCTTATAAATTTATAAAACTGTCCTTTCCCAGAATTTTCCATCTCAGAGTGGCATCCCCATTACATTACATTAAGTGCCATCTTTACCTTGTCTGCTGCATTCTATACATCAGAAAGGTCCACAGCTATACGCCCATCTCAAATCTGTCCACATTTCTCCACCTCTACTCCCGCTAAAACCACTACCTGCGCTCCAGCAATGGCCACCTAACTGCTCCCCCTGCCTCCACACTAGTCTCATCCCTCGCCAGCCCCACTTCCTCATCCATCTTGCACCAGTGTGATCTTCAAAAATACAAATCAGGATATATAACTCAGCCACTGAAATGTTTCAATACTTCCCATCACATATGCTACAAAATCAACATTCTCTAGAAAGGCCCACAAGTAGAATGACCACATCTCTGCTTGTCCAGGACATTACTGTAACAGTCCAGAATAAAAAGTCTATGTAAAAATCAACATGATGGGGGTTGGCATAGGAATAAACTGATCAAAAGACTAGAATAGAGACCAATCGACTAGAAGAGAGAGCACAGAGACACAAATGTGAATTAAACTTTGATTATGACAGAAGTAATAGGTCAGGGAAAAGAGGAGGCTGTTCAATAAACAGAACTGGAAATAAAAACGGAACTGGAAACAAAATAGTTTTCCATATGGAAAAAGACAAAATTGGATCCCTACCCAGTACTGGGTACAAAAATCAACTCTAAACACAAGCTTGTCCAACCCGTGGCCCATGGGCCACATACAGCCCAGAATGGCTTTGAATGCAGCCCAACACAAACTTGTAAACTTTCTTAAAACATTATGAGATCTTTTTTGTGATTTTTTTTAGATCATTAAGTATCATGAGTATTAGTGTATTTTAGGTGGCCAAAGATAATTATTCTTCCAATGTGGCCTAGGGAAGCCAAAAGATTGGACACCCCTGTCTAAATGGATTAAAGATGTAAACATCAAAATCCAAACTTCAAAACTTGGCAGAAATCTTAAGATAGAGAAAGATTTCTTAAGACTCAAAAAGATTAATGAGGTTGACCTATTCAATTTAAGAGTTTATACTCATCAAAAAACAGCTTAAAGAAAACGGAAGTAAGTTATAAACTAGGAAAAACACAGAACTGGCAAAGAACCAGCATCAAGAATCTCTACATACACATTCACATGCAAACAAACAAGAAAAGAATGTCTGTATAATTCCAGGAAATAAAGGACGATGAATTACCTCTGACTGAGAAAGCACACACCATGCTGGAAAGGAGAGAGAAGGAAAAACCCACTCCTAGCCACACAATGGTGGATCTTAATATCCAATGAAAAGAAAAAATTCTAATCTAGGTCACACACAATAACCCAATATAAAATGAACAAGACATGATCAAGCAAATCAAAGAAAAATGTACATCAATAAATATGTTAAGACATGTTCAATGTTACTGGTGATCAAGGAATTTCAAATCAAGACCAAAATGGTATACCATTTACAACCATCCCTCTGGCAAAAATTAAATACCAAGTGTCAGCCATGAGGTGGCTCAGAGCTCTCCTGTATTGCTAGTGAAATGTTAACTGGTTCAACAACTATGTAAGTCAGCAGGACATTATGTCCTAAAATTGAACATTCGTGTGCCCTATGACCTAGTTACTCCACTCAGGTCTATATAAAAGAGAAAACCATGCACATATGGAACATGCACAGCAGAAAATGTGAAAGAATATCTCATGCTCTTCAGAAGAGCAAAAACCTGGAAATGACCAAAGGCCCATCAACAGAAGAGTGGATAAATTAACTTCAGCAGATCCACACAAAATATCACAGCAGTCAGAAGGAATAAACCACAGTGAAAAACAACAATACGGTTGATTTTTAGTAATATTACTGTTATCACTTAAGTCCCAAAAAGTTACACATAGGAAGATAACTTAGTTGCAAACACACAGATTTTTTTTTTTTGGAAATTAGATACAGTAAAAAAAAAAAAAAATTAATACAAGATGGGAGCTAATGATTACTCCTAGCGAAAAGTGAAAGAGGAAAGAGTAAAACAGATAGTGGTTACTGCCAAGATCCTAGATTTTTGTTGGAAACAGTGCTCGCTACATTATACAAAACAACTAATTTTTTAAAAGGAAAAAGGTTAGTCTATGGATTAACACATGGCTCACTGTACGTGCCATGAGCTCGGGATGATAGCTGATCCAATCCCATATACACCTGAAGTCTTGGGGCAGGGGCGGACCACGAGTCAGCGCGCCCCCACAGCACCAGGCTGATGGCCCCGTGGTTCTTCTGCCTGCAAGCAAAAGTCAGCCACGATCATCCTTCTCCATCTGCAACACCCAGGGTCTTTTCTAAAACTTTTGCCCAGTCGGCTCAGCCAAAAGGACACAGAAGCCCTGCAGAGGCTCTGAAACCAAGGTCAGTGCCTCGTGGACAGCTCCCGCGCCTGGACAGCTCCCGCGCCTGGACAGCTCCGCGCCTGGACAGCTCCCACTGTCCCGCCCGCAGTGGGCGTGTCTGGGAGGCACTGAGCAGGGGCGGGGGTGGGCTCAGCGGTGCTGAGGTACCCGCCTAGGGAGATGCGCAGCTGGAGGCGCATGAGGGCTGGAGACGCGGAAGGCGCATGGGGCGCAGCAGGCTCACGGGGTATGCAGGGTACAGGGAGGCGCGAAGGGGGGAGGCGCGAGGGGGGAGGCGCGTGGGGCGCAGCAGGCGCACAGGGCATGCAGGGTACAGGGAGGCGCGAGGGGGGAGGCGCGTGGGGCACAGCAGGCACACGGGGCATGCAGGGTACAGGGAGGCGTGAGGGGTGAGGCGCATGGGGCACGGAGGATGCCGGGTGGTACAGGGGATAGGCAGAGAGGCACAGGGGTGGGGAGGTATGGGGCGCGGAGGGGCATGAGGAGGCGAGGGGCGCGGCGAGGCGGCGGGCAGAAGGCACCGGGAGCCCCATGAGGCGCAAAAGGTGCGGGGAGGCACGGCGGCCGAGGAGGCGCTGAGGACCGGGGAGGCGCAAGAGGCCCAGGATGCGCGGGGTCCTGGGGAAGCGCGAGAGGCCTAGGAGTCGTGGGGGACATGGGGAGGTGCAGGGGACCCAGGGAGGCTCGAGGGGCCAAGGAGGCGCGGAAGGCTGCAGTTGGGGAGGGGAGAGAATGGGGCGGGTGGGGGATGGGGGGCGGCCGCTGCAGGAAAAGGGATGCGGTGTTTCCTGGCAAGTTCAGAAGCCAAGCCCCCAACCTCGTAACCTGTTCACACATAGGGTGACCCCTCTGTGTCAAGAGCCCCTACGGGTCCCTCATAATGTGCGGGTCACGTCCTGAAAAGGAGGCAGAAAAAGGCCCTGGAAGCGGGAAGGGAGTGACCCAGCCGCACGGCCACGCTGGCGGCCACTGCATCCCTCGCCGGTAGAGCCGGGCGGGGCGCACACCCACTCCTCGCCGGCTTCCTCGCAGCCCAGTGGCCAAGGGCGACACCGGCGAGAGGCCGCAGAGAACCGCGGCCTCCCAGACAAGGGCCAGGCAGGGACTGCGGGCTGCCGCCACCACGCCAGGCCCCCAGTCAGCTCCCAAGACCTGTCCCCAACATGCCAGGCCTCGGCCTCCCAGCACTGCAGACCCCAAGCTCCAGGTTCACGCGGCTGCCCGCCGGAACCCCTAAGACTCGCCGGCAGAGCCTCCTTAGAACCACATTAGACCAAGCTGTATCATCTTTTATGTACAAAGCTGTTCGTTGTTTTTCAGCTGCCATGGCTCCCAGTTCGACATCATGTCACCGGAGCCTGCACAGATGAACCAAGCTTGCAACACGGGAGGAACCTAAGCGCTGGACTGAGGAGCGGGACTGAAATAAGAAGCGCACACCACATGGCAAGATCCAGGATCCAATCAGATAGAGCCCTGGTGTCATCTAATTGCAAGATCCAATCAGAACACACCTCATTACCTTATGGTAATAAGCTTATGCTTATAAAACCCGACCCAGCCGCCAGCTTGGGGAGACAGGTTTGACCTTTCCTCCTGTCTCGTCGCAGTGCAGTCCACTCTCTCCAGCAAAAACCCTGCGCTTTGGTGTTTGGCTTTCCCTGGTGCACAGGCAGGCGGGTCCACTTTGGTTTGGTGACACTCTAGGCCATGCTCACACACTCACCAGGCCTACCAGGACACATTCACCAGGCCCTCCAAACCATGCTCACAGGAACCACCAGGCTGCACACAAGGGCCCTCCACACACCACACTTGGCCACACCCCCGGGGCCGCACCTTGAGGTTCTCCAGAATCCGCAGGGACCTCGGTGCCAGCCAGGCCACACCACCCAGCACTCCAAGCTACACTCACTAGACCCACCCGGAAAAACAGGCCACACCTCTGAGTGCTCCAGATAGCGCTTGCCAGACCCCTCCAGACCACACTGGCCAGGCTGCACCTCGGAGCCCTCTAGGCCACGCTCTCAAGGGTACCACCATGCCAGGCTGCACCAGGCCCTCACGTGCTGCTCAGTCAGGCCACCAAGTCGCATTCTGCAGGCCCACCAGGTCGCACCTCCAAGCCCAAGCAAGCCCATGGTGATTTGGCCTCCTTGAAGCCACAAAGCCTGGTGATCCTGACTTCACAGGCAGCCCTCCTGCCTACCGCAGCGGCCACAGCAATTATATTATTGCCATGGCAATTAGAACCTACAAGGCAAACAGAGAACCCTTCCTGTCCTACTTCCCGATGTGCTCAAGCAAGTCTTCCTCTCTCCCCTGCACCACCCACTTAGCGTTTCCTTCAACATATACTATTCACGCTATTTTGCCAAATTAAAAAAAAAAATACTCATCCAATTTTTTAACCTCCAGCTTCTCTATTTATATGGATACTCTTTTTAAAAGATTTTTATTTTCTTGCTACCACCAACACACTCCTTGGCTACCCTTCTTGTCCCCTGAACTGGCTGTTCCCCCAGAGAGACACACAGCTCACTCCCTCAACTCAAGGTCTTTACTTACGTGTCACATTCTCAGTGACACTTACCCTATTTAATATCCTCACACACACACCCGAGCCCCCAGTACTCCTGATTACCCTTCCTTTCCTTTTCTGTAGCAGTCATCACAGTTTAACATACTACTTAGCCATTGCTTTTTTCATCTGTCTCCCACCCTACTAAAATGTAAGCTCCATGAAAAAAAGAGATTCTTGCCTGTTGTAGTGACTGATTCAATTCCAGTACCTAAACCGGTGCCTACATATGACTGATAGTCAAATAGTTATTATAAATAAACATTAACTGTTGGCTATGTTTTAATATAATGTACACATATAATTTTAGATGATTTAACCAAGTAAATAAGAAGAAAATACACTATAAATTATTGAACCATACCCACACAGTAGATTGTTCCAGCATATTTGCCACAATAAACAATGCTACCAAAAACCTTTTGTACAAATATCTACATATAGTACTACTTCTTCTATCCGTTTGAGTCACAAAAGATTATGTGAATATACGTTTTAAAATGTTAACAGGTATTGCCAGACTATCAGGAGAGACCATAAATCAGATAAAAACATGAGTTGTATCCAAAACTCAACCAGGTATCATCTTAAATATCCAACAGAATTCTAGGTTTTAAGAAAATAAAAGACTTAAGAGGAAAAGGCATTTTCACATCTTATGAGTCAAAGAGATGAAAGATACAATCCAATGATCAATCCAGTGCCTGCTGTAGATTTCTGTGAGTGCATACAAGAATCAGACACTATCAAATCACTGGAAGTCAGGGGCCAGGCTCTTTAAAGTAAATGAATCACCTGGGACGGCAACTACAGTCGGACTCACTGTGTCCTACCAGGTCACCAACAAGAAGCCAAACAGAATTCCAGGCTCCAGAGGTAACCTCAATTAACACTGTTCCTTAGTGAGTACATTACCTCAAGTTAAATGGGCTGGTAACAGGCTTCCTGAAATGGATATAGAGCTGTAATCCTCAGAAGATTAATTAAAATCATAATATTAATATTTGATGTGTTAGAAAAAAATGTGAATGTATTTGGTATTTTTACTGCAATGTTTAATATAACTCCAATCCAAAGTTTATAACTCAGCAATTAATTCAGACTTACGACACAGTATTAGAACATTTAAGAGAATTTTAGAATTAGAAATTTTAGAATTTTAGCATAACTAGTAAATATATAAGAATTATTAAATAATAATACTCATAAATTTATAATTATTGTTACACTGAAATTTTAACTGTTAAGCCAGACATCTGAGGTACTTGAAAAGGAAATCAAATGCAGTTGAACTGCAAAGGTCTGAACTTCCCAGGTCCACTTATACACAGATTTTCTTTCACCTCGGTAACCCCAGAACAACAAGACCAGTCCCTCCTCTTCCTCCTCCTACTCAGCCTACGCAACATGAAGACAATAAGGACGAAGATCTTTATATGATGATCCACTGCCGCTCAATGAATAATAAACATAATTTTCTCTTCCTTATCATTTGTTTTTTCCTGAGACAAGCTCTCACTACTCTCTTACCTAGGCAGGAGTACAGTGGCCTGATTACAGCTCATTGAGGCCTCCACCTCCTGGGCTCAAGCAATCCTCCTGCCTCAGCCTCCCAAGTAGTTGGGACTACAGGCATGCACCACCATGCCTGGCTAATTTTTTTATTTTTTGCAGAGATGGGGTTCCACTATGTTGTCCAAGCTGGTCTCAAACTTCTGGGCTCAAGTGATCCTCCCACCTCAGCCTCCCAAAGTGCTGTGATTACAGGTGTGAGCCACCACACCCGGCCTGATTTTCTTAATATTTTCTTTCCTTTAGCTTACTTTATTGTAAGAATATAGTACTTAATACATATAACATGCAAAATATGTGTTGATCGACTATTTATGTTTCTGGTAAAGCTTCCCATCAACAGCAGGCTATTAGCAGCTAAGGTTAGAGGGAGTGAAATGTTAAATGTGGATTTTCAACTGTGCAGGGGGTTGGTGCCCCTAACTCTAGCGTTGTTCAAGGGTCAAATGCATATAAAATGTATAAACCACTTTAAAATGTGAAAATAATTAGGTTGCAAATGGGACCAAATATTGTTCACAGGCCCTATGAAAATGATGGCTAACATTTGCTAAGATTCACATATGTAATATTGTTTGCCTAAGGAAAAACTAATGTATGATTTTTTTAATTTCTTCTGAGCTCCTTGGATGTGTGGATAATGTATGATTCCTCAATTTAAAATAATGTAATATTGTTTAAACCAGCATTGAGGTCTTAATATTTGTTTCTCACTATAAAAAATTTTAGGGCAGCAGCCCCCAACCTTGTTGGCACCAGAGACTGGTTTCATGAAAGACAGTTTTTCCATGGACTTGGACTGGGGGTGGGATGGTTTCGGGATGATTCAAGCATATTACATTTATTGTACCCTTTATTTCTATTATTATTACATTGTAATATGTAATTGAAATAATTATACAACACACCACAGTGCAGAATCAGTGGAAGCCCCGAGCTTGTTTTCATGCAACTAGATGGTCCCATCTGGGGGTGATGGGAGACACTGACAAATCATCAGGCACTAGATTCTCATAAGGGGTCACAACCTAGATCCCTTGCATGTGCAGTTCACAATAGGGTTCGCGCTCCTATAAGCATCTACTGCTGCCACTTATCTAACAGGATGCAGAGCTCAGGCAGTAGTGCAAGCAATGGGGAGCGGCTGTAAATACAGACGAAGCTTCACTCTGTCACCCACCACTCACCTCCTGCTGTGCAGCCCAGCTCCTAACAGGCTACAAACCGCTACCAGTCTGTGGCCCGGGGGTTGAGGACCCCTGCTTCAGGGCACTTTAAAACTCATACCAGGCCAGGCGTGGTGGCTCACACCTGTAATCCCAGCACTTTGGGGGGCCAAGGCGGGTGGATCACTTGAGGTCAGGAGTTCAAGACCAGCCTGGCCAACATGGTGAAACCCCATCTCTACTAAAAATACAAAAAAAAAATTAGCCGGACATGGTGGTGCCCGTAATCCAAGCTACTCAGGAGGCTGAAGCAGGAGAATCGCTTAAACCCAGGGGGCGGAGGATGCAGTGAGCCAAGATGGCGCCACTGCACTCCGGCCTGGGCAACAGAGCAAGATTCTGTCTCAAAAAAAAAAAAAAAAAAAAAAAAACAACCTCACACCAACTATTATCTTCCCAAAAGGATTTAGAGACAACCGTCTTCCTACAGCAACGTATAAATAAATGTGCCCATTTCCAGGCTCCTTGCCAGCACTCTATGATTCAACCATTTAAATTTCTGCCAACTTCTCAAAGAAAAATGAGATCTCATAATTGCTCTGATTTGCATTTATACCTGGTGATGCGGCTTAGCTCTGTCTCGCCACCCAAATCTCATGATGAATTGTGATCCCGAGTGTTGGAGGTGGGGCCTGGTGGGAGGTAACTGGATCACGGGGCTGGTTTCCAATGGTGTAGCACCATCCCCAAGTGCTGTCTCGTGATAAGAGTTCTCACTAGATGTGCTTGTTTGAAAGTGTGTAGCACCGCCCCACTCCTCTCCTGTCACCATGTGAAGAAGCTGCCTGCTTCCCCTTCACCTGCTGCCATGATTTTAAGTTTCCTGAGGCCTCCCCAGCCATGCTTCCTACACAGCCTTCAGAACTGTGAATCCAACCTCTCTCCTTCATAAATTACCAAGTATCAGGTAGTTCTTTACAGCAATGTGAGAAAGGACTAATCCACCTGGCTTATTAGTGAAGTTGTATTGAGCATCTGGATTTCTTCTTTTGTGAATTACCTGTTCTTTGACTTTGCCATTTTTCTCCTGGGTGTCTGTCTTTCTTACCAATTTTTAAGAAAAGCTCTCATCCTAATAGTACATTGGCAAACATGCTGGAAATGTTTTTCCCAGTCTAGTGTATGTCTTTTGTCTTTAGAACACCTTTTAGTCATTAAAAGGTATGTAATAAGAAATGTTCCTCTTCTCCTGTATGGCTTCCAGGATTCCTTAAGGAAGGCTCTTCTAGATTATATCTATATGTTACTAATTTTTTTTCCAATGTTCTATTGTCTTTTTACTTTCAAATCTTAACTGAGCTGTAATTTCAGTATGTGATCTAAAGGAGGGATTGAACTTTGTTTCGTAAGAGACAATAGCTACTTACACCCAATTTTTTGGTTGTAAGTTATCTTAAGTTCCCATACATATTTGGATCTATTTCTATGCTAGCTCTTCTGTTCCTCTGATCTGCGGGGAGCTCCAGTTCTTGTGGTTGTTTTGAAGGTTCACATTTTTTCCTTTCTAACAAGATCAAAAGAAGTTCGTTCTCAGATGTCCTCTCAGAGCCACACATTCAGATCTCCCATCCTGGTCTCCATTTCAGCTCCAATCTGTCTGATGTGACCCCATGACTCACACAAAAGCACAGCCCTGAGTGAGTACACAGGCTCTGGAGCCGGCTGTCCACATTCAAATCCATAACCACACCACCTCCAGCAAGGTGCTCATTGTGGAGGCTAAAGTAACGCCATTCTGGAGGCCAAACAGCCCTGCTGACTTCCGATTAACCCCAGTTCCAGGAAGGCCTCCAAGATTTCCAGTTTATCTACTGTTCCTTGTGTAAGAGCAGGTAATTATCACGAATCCTCCCCTTAGGTCAAAAAACCTACTTCAATTGTCCTACACATTCCTTCTGAACCACCCCTTCCCTATGGTGTATGATCCCTGGGTCTGGAGTGGGTGATGGCAGAGGGATCCATCCCATCTCGTGACTTCTTGAGATGTGGCTTCTATTCATAAGTCCGTATTAAATGTTTCTTTCTGAGAAACTGGGTGTCAGCCTCCTTCTTCAGCCTCTCAACTTCCTTGGACTTCGGGGGCAGATTTGCACAGACCTGCCCACTGTAGAACACAGATCCATTTTGCGCTTCCATTTCTTCATTTATAACATGAGGGAAATGAAATCACCTACTTTAAAGGGTTGTTGAATGAATTAAATGAGATATTTTACTTTTAAACATTAGGCCTAGCACATGAATGTGCAACAAAATTTAGGTATTTTTATTGTATATGCAAATTAGATTTGATTCGGGATTATCCCTATGCTACTGTGAATGTCACTCTCATTGACTCATACAAACTGCTCTCTCCAGTTGAAGAAAGGGAGCCGTTACTGAGAGTCCTGAAAGTATATATGATGACTCCCTCTGGAAGTTTCAAGCTCTGGGAAAGGGATCTGTCACACATATCTGGGGGAAAAAATGAGATTGGAAACTGCTGGTTTATAATAGTATCATCATCATCTTAACCTGTAAGTTACTTTTTAGTCATCTAGTTATCTTTGGTATCTCCCCTGTAGGCATCGTTTCCTATTCCACGGGGCCAGCTTCCTAAAAACACCTTCCATCACATCACCTCCCCGTTACCATCACAAAAGATCTGTAATGGATCCACTCCCTACAAAAAAATAACAACTCTTCTCCTCCCTGGCTTTCAAGGTCCACAGAACTTGGTCAAACTCAAACTTTGTCCAGTGAGGCCAAGCTCACAAATTATCCTTCAAGTAAGTTGCCTCCATCTGGCATCAGTCTATGTGGTATTACACTATACCATACCATACTATACTACCATAAACTCAAGACATACTTTCATTAGCCAAAAATATTGAAGTATTATAATAAAATCAAGAAGAAAGCTACTTTTCCTTCTTTCTGAACACCTACATAACACTGGCCAACAGAATTACTTGTGGCCTTTCTCTGTGAGTTCTCAAAAGAGCACAATGAGTAAACTGGCCATCTCACCTGTAAGTTTCCTAAGTATATCACCAAGGATAATGTCAGACCCAAGAATTCACAACAATCTAGTGCTTTCTCAGATCTCAATCCCAGGCCTCAAATCCCTCTCACCAGGTTTTTCAGTCTGGATGGTCTCTTTGTAGAGAGAGAGGGAAATCAAACAGGAGCTGGGCCTCAATCAGCAGACCTCGCACTCCCTTATCTTCGTACTCTAAACACTGCTTTCTACAAAGCTCTTTTAACTGTGTTTAGCAATTTCCATGCAAAATGACAAGTGGGGGTTTCTTTTGTTTCAAGACAGCTGAACAGAGTTGCCAGAGGCCGGTTCTCAGAAGAACCCAAGTTACAGGTGAGCAACCGTCGCCAGAATGGAGTATCAAGTGGAGAGCACTGGAGCCTGGTGGAGAACCCCTGGGATGAAACGAGGGCAAAAAATAAAAAGCAGGAAACGAGAGGGGCAGAGAGCGGCTAGGAGCCCTGAGGGACTTGGTATTCCTTTGAAAGGGGTGGCGGGAATGCTGTTGCTGCCCCTCACCTCTGTGGTCGACTGCTGGTACCCGAACTGTGGGAGAGCTTTTCTGCCCTCACAAACCCAAACACTGGTGCGGGCAGCAATTTGGGGACTTCCTGAGGGCATTACATCAGACTACCACTTATGCCAGGTTGCTCACCCTCCACTGGACCTGGGTGGCAGTGGCGGCAGCAGTGGGAGGACTGCCTGGGGAAGCTCAGCACTGATGTCTCCGTATCACCAGAGGCCCTGCAGACCTTTCTTGGCACCTGCTGAGACTGCAGCAGCCACACAGGGCTGGCTGGACCCAGGGGAGCTGCAGGGTTCCCAGAGATCTACCCTCAGGGAGTGCTGCTCCTAAGGGAAGAAAGAGTACAGCATGCCAAGGGGGCACTCCTTGGGACAAAGGAGCATGCACTTTCCTGTGCCCAGGAGCATGGCTTGTGGCCTGTGCCACATGCAGTGGAGACAGGGGTGCTGTACTCAGCCCTGCAAGGGAGGAGTATGCTTCCAGCCCAGGAGCCAGGTGGTCTCAGTGCTTGGGCACGGATGTGGGTAGTAGGACTTCTCCTCCCCCACCCTCTACCCACTGCTGTGGGCACAGTCATGGCTGCTCCCACAGGTTGGCACAGGCACACAGGACAGTGGCCATTCTGTGGCTGTTAGGGGAAGCTGCATTTCCACTGGCAGTGGACTTGCACGACTTCCACTGAGCCAGGACTTGCACGAAAGGTGGGGCCTCACCCTCTCTACACGGACCCACAGCATTCCTGCGGCAAAGAGCAGGAGAGCTACAAATGTGTGTGCTTTGGGTTGAGGGAGGAGGCTCACTACAGAAGACACATTGGTGGTAAGCCATGGACAGGTGTCTCTCGTAGCACTCACTACACTGCAGCCTGAGACAGACAGCGATATTCTCATGTTCTGAATATTCCCAGCGCCAGGACGGGGTGTGACAGGGAGGCAGATTGTGCTCCCACCTGCCCAGGCCATGGAGCTGGAGCAACCCCCACACCTCCCCGCAGACACCTTGGCACCTTCTACACAGCTACCCCTGCTACCCCTGTTAGGGCTGGTGCTTGAGCCACTGGAGTATCCAAGAGAAGAACTGGCAGTTCAGTTCTGTCCAGCTTTGTCCCCCACTCAGGGGCTGAGCAGGTAGCTCAGGCCACTGTGCATTCCACAGACCACTCCACTGCCTGAAGCAACAGAGCTTCCCCCATTAAACAAAGGTCAAGCACAGAGACTCATAGACCCACCCATCGGATTCCACTGCAGCTGGTTTTTACCCATAAATACCACCTGCTGGCCTGCACAACCCAATATAAATTCTGCTGCCAAAGTGCAAAGCAAGGGAGAACAAAATAACTTCCTGAGAACTCTGCCTTCCAGGCCCCGCGGGAGACGGTGAGGATCCTGCTCACACACCCAAGCACATCATTACTATCACTAGCATTTGAGAAAGCTACCACAAAAAGGCCAACTATAACCAAGAAACTCAGAGTCTCTGTCACTGAAAGTACCCAGAACTGAAGTCAAACAACTATATACAACATACGTTATATTCACATTCTCAAGGGAAAAAAAAAAATCCTGCCAAAGTAAATTCAAAAATAAAGAAGAGATAGTTTATCCAGATGAGAATGAAACAGAGTAACAACTCTAGAAGTATTAAAAAAAAAAAAAAAAAAAAGAGCGCTGCAACATCCCCAAAGACTCACACTAACTCTCCAGCAGTGGACCCTAAAGAAAATGAAATCCTTGAAATACCAGCTAAGGAATTCAAAATATTGATTTTAAAGAAGCGCAATAAGATCCAAGAGAAAGTCAAAAAACCAACACAAAGAAATCGGAAAAATATAGGATCTAAATTAAAATTTTACTAGAGAAAGCTATTTTTTAGAAAACCAGACAGAAATTCCAGAAATGAAAAATTCATTGTAGGAATTACAAAATACAGTTGAAAGCTTGAACAGCAGACTAGACCAGCAGAAAAGAGAATCTAATAGCTTAAAGACAGGTTTGAATTAACCCAGTCAGACAAAAGGTATAAAACTCACATCTTATAAAATAATTATACAATTGACACTAAAAAGCAACTAGTTAACAATTAACACTATGACAGGAACAAAACCTCACATATCAATATTAACTCTGAACATAAATGAATTAAATCCTTTACATAAAAGATATAGATTGGTGAACTAGATTTAAAAAAAAAAATGATCCAACCATATGTTGCTTACAGAAAACCACCTAACTGGTAAAAACAAAGACTCAAGGTAAATAGGTAGGAAAAGATATTCCATGCAAATAGAAACCAAAAGTGAGCGGGAGAAGCAACATTTAGATAAAAGAGACTTTTAAGTCAATAATAGTTAAAAAAGAAAAAAAAAAGACCATTAAATAATGATAACGGGATCAATTCAACAAGATATAACCATCCTAAATACAAATGCACCCCACACCAAAGCACTCAGATTCATAAAATCATTACCACTAGACCTAAGAGGAGATAGACAGCAATGTAATAATAATGAGAGACTTCAACACCTCACTACAAGCACTAGAAAGATCATCAACACAGAAAATCAACAATAAAACACTGAACTTAAATTGGACTCAGGATTAAATGGACCTAAAAGACATTTAAAGATCATTCTACCCAACAACCACAGGACATACATTCCTCTTAGCACATGGAACAGTCTCCAGGGTAGACCATATGTTAGGCCACAGAACAGTCTCAGTACATTTTTAAAAACTGAAATCATATCAACTATCTTTCCAGATCACAGCGGAATAAAACTAGAAATCAATTCCAAGAGGAGAACTCTCAAAACTACACAAATACATGAACATTAAACAACCTGCTCCTGAATAACCTTTGGGTCAATGACAAAGTTAGGATGAAATGTAAAAATTTTTTGAAATGAATATAAATAGAGACACAATGGACCAAAACCTCTGGGATACAGCAAAGCAGCGGTAAGAGGGAAGTTTATAGCACTAAATGCCTACATCAAAAATAAAGATCACAAATTAATGACCTAATGTAACCCTCATGGCACTAGAAAAAAAAAAGAACAAACCAAATTGAAACCTAACAGAAGAAATAACAAAAATCAGAGCAGAACTAAACGAAATTGAGACCCCCCCCAAAAAATGCAAAGGATCAACAAAACAAAGTTGGTTCTTTGAAAAGATGAACATAATCAATGGACTACTACTCAAATTAACCAAAAAAAGAAGAGACACAATTCAAATAAGCACAATCAGAAATGAAAAAGTAGACATTGATACTATGGAAAGACAAAAGATCATCAGAGGCTACTATAAACATCTCTACACTCAAAAACTAGAAAACCTAGAGGAAATGGATACATTCCTGGAAACATACAACCTCCCAAGATTGAATCGGAAGAAACAGAAATCCTGAAAAGACCAGTAAAAAGGAGTGAGATTGAATCAGTACTTTAAAAATCTCCCAAGAAAAAGCACAGGACCAGACAGATTGAGAGCCAAATTCTACCAAAGGTACAAAGAACTGGTACCAATCCCACTGAGACTACTCCCTGAAAAAAAAAAAAAAAAAAAAAAAAATCAAGTTGGAGGGAATCCTCCCTAACTTGTTCTATGAAGCCAGTAACACCCTAACACCAAAGCAAGGCAAGGACACAACAAAAAAGGAAAACTATAGGCCAATATCCCTAATGAACACAGATGCAAAAATCATGGCCTAGAAGAATTAGTATTGTTAACATGACCATAATGCCCAAAGCAATCTGCAGATTCAGTGCAATTCTTATCAAAGTACCAATGTCATTTTTCACAGAATTAGAAAAACAATCCTAAAATTCATATGGAACCATATGAGTAGCCAAAGCCTGAATAGCAAAAGCAATCCTAAACAAAAAGAACAAAGCTGGAGGCATCATGTTACCTGACTTCAAATTATACCTGAAGGCTATAGTAATCAAACAGCATGGTACTGATATAAAAATAGGCACACAGATCAATGGAACAGAATAGAGAACCCAGAGTCAGGGCCACATACTTAAAACCAACTGATCTTTGACAAAGTTGACAAAAACATAACACTGGCGAAGGGACACCCTATTCAATAAACGGTGCTGGGAAAACTGGACAGCCACATGCAGAAGAATGAAACTAGAACCCTATCTCTCACCATATACAAAAGTTGGAGACTTAAATGTAAGATCTGAAACTATGAATATTCTAGAACAAAACCCAGGAAACACTCTCCTGGACATTGGCCTAGACAAAGATTTCATAACTAAAACCTCAAAAGCAAATGCAACAAAACAAAAATAGCCAAGTAAGATTTAATTAAACTAAAAAGCTTCTGCACAGCAGAGTAAACAGAAAACCTACAGAATGGGTGAAAATATTTGCAAACTGTGCATCTGACAAAGGACTAACATCCAGAATCTACAAGGAACTCAAACAATTCAAAAAGAAAAAAAGAACCCCTTTAAAAAGAGGGCAAAGGACATGAACAGACATTTCTCTAAAGACATACAAATGGCCAACAAGCATATGTAAAAATGTTCCACATCCCTAATCATCAGAGAAAGGCAAATTAAAACCATGAGACACCATCTTATACCCACTGGAATGGCAATTATTAAAAAGTCAAAAAGCAAAAGATGTTGGCAAGAACGTAGAAAAACGGGAATGCTTACATACACTGGTGGGAATGTAAATTAGGATGTCCTCTATGGAAAACAGTATAGAGATCTATCAAGGAACTAAAAATAGAACTACCATTCCATCCAGCAATCCCACTACTGAATATATACTTGAAGGAAAAAAATCATCAGAAAGACACCTGCACTCATATGTTTATCACAGCACTATCCATAATTGCAAAGATATGGAATAAACCTAAGTGTCCATCAATGGATGACTGGATAACAAAAAATGTGGTGTGTGTTTGTGTGTGTGTGTGTGTGTGTGTGTGTGTGTGATTTCATTCTTTTCTATGGACAAATTCCACATGTTGGCCATAAAAAAGAATGAAATCACATGTTTTGCAGCAACATGAATTGAACAATAGCACATTATCCTAAGTAAAATAACTCAGAAAGAGAACACCAAATACCACATGTTCTCACTTATAAGTAGAAACTAAATAATAGGTACACATGGACACGGACAGTGGAATAACAGACACTGGAGACTCAGAAAGGTTGGGGGGTGAGGAATTAGAAATTATCTACTGGGTATAATGTACACTATTCGGGTGACGGGTATTAAAAACCCAGATTTACAACTATGCAATATATCCATGTAACAAACTGCACTTGAACTGCCAAATCTATAAAAATATTAAAATGTTTAAAACACAAAAGAAAATGACAGAGCTACCACAGTAAGCTTCTCTCCCAAATCCAAAAGCCCACCTAGCATCTTCTTCTAGTTATCAGACAGTCCCTAGTCATATACCATCTCTATGTCACGAGCATCCATTGTGGTCAAACCTCATTATTCTAACTGCCTTAGTGAAAGGTCACCACGGACATCCATGTTGCCAAATCCAAGGGCAATGCATTCTGCTTTTCTGTCTGCCCTGCCTCCCTTCCTTCAGGCATCTGCCCTGACTCCACTCTATGTAACCTGGTGCTGATATATTAATCCACTTGGATTCATATTCTTCACAGAAGGATAGCGATCCTGACCCAAAAGGCATACATTTGGGGAATGAAACGAACCCTAGGAAAGAAGGGGCTGCACCTCTTTCTCTGAGACTGCCAATCCTCAGGACTATTTATTTAACCTTTAATGTAAGCCTAACTCCAGTGACCATCTTTGACAGCAGAAACACTGTCTGGGAACTACAGCCAAAGCTGGAAGGTACAAAGGAATGGGAGTCGGGGGAGCACTAAAAGGAAATGTGGGCTGGGGGAGAATGTAAAAACAGGGTTTAAGAAAAGTGTGGGTGAGAAGGGAGAGCCATCTAGGAGACAGCTTTCAATATCAAATACACATCTACATAATTCTTCATAACAGCTGTCTGTATAGTATCCACTAGACAGAACCAACCTAGTTTTAGCTCATACTAGACATTCAAACCGTTAGCATTTTTAACTACTAACAAATGTGTATTATGTATTATAAACACTTATGATTTCTAAACATTCAAAATTTTTGTATCGCTATATACGTATAGCTATACACAGTCATTTTTGCAAAATTGGGGAATCATATTGCCAATCCAGTAATTTCAGGTAGTTCTACTTACCCACTGAATGATAAGTGCGTGTCTTCAAGTCGTGCATACAAACAGCACTTGATGGCCCGCACTGGACAATATCCACACTTCCACAGATGTTGATTTTATAAAGTACATTATTTTTGGTATCAACAGCTTCCCATGTATAACTGGAAAGGAAGAAAAACAACTTGTCAATGTCACTGATTTATCAAAAATTAAACTTCTCTCTAGTTTTATTCAAGCCACATTTGCTTAAAACTGCCACAAACTAGAAAATACACTTTCCTTAGCCAAAAACACTAAAAAGTCAAGTATGTTAAGTTGCAAAGAAGCCAGGGCAGAAACTACTAACACCATCTGTCTGTGGTTCAATCCATTCTGAAGCTACCTCAGGACTCAAAGATTATCAAAATAGAAGTATCTGGCTGGGCATGGTGGCTCACGTCTGTAATCCCAGCACTTTGGGAGGCCGAGGTGGGTGGATCACGAGGTCAGGCGTTCAAGACCAGCCTGGCCAACATAATGAAACCCCATCTCTACTAAAAATACAAAAATTAGCTGGGCGTGGTGGCACACGCCTATAATTACAGCTACCTAGGAGGGTGAGGCAGGAGAACTGCTTCAACCTGGGAGACGGAGGTTGCAGTGAGCCGAGATCGTGCCACTGCACTCCAGCTCGGTCAACAGTGCGAGACTCTGTCTCCAAAGAAAAAAAAAAAAGAAATATCTTACCATTAATTTAAGAATATCAACTCAGATCAGTGTATTAGTCTGTTCTCACACTGCTAATAAAGACATACTCAAGACTGGGTAATTTATAAAGGAAAGAGGTTTAATTGACTCATAGTTAAGCATGGCTAGGGAGGCCTCAAGAAACTTACAATCGTGACAGAAGGGGAAGCAAACACATTCTTTTTCAGCAAGGAGAAGTGCGGAGCAAAAGGGGAAAAAGCCCCTTATAAAACCATCAGATCTCGTGAGAACTCACTCATGACCACGAGAACAGCATAAGGGTAACCGCCCCCATGATTCAATTGCCTCCCACCAGGTCCCTCCCACAACACATGGGGATTATGGGAACTACAAGCTGAGATTTGGGTGGAGACACAGCCAAATCATATTAATCAGTAATTGCTCAAGACTCATGCTGAATATAAGATAGTAATAGCCTTTCCAATCACACCAAAATGCTGAAAAGCCAAAGGATTTTTTAACTCTATTTTATTAAAAAACTAGCTATGGCATGAAAGGCAGCTCCACTTCTGCTTTTACCTCTTAGAGCTACAGTTCAGATCTGAACTCGCAAGACAGAGCTGTGCAATGAGTCAGCTATCAGATTCGAAATCACACAAAATTCACTACACCAAGCATTAACACTCATTGTTCAAACCTCTGGCAAAGCAGATAGTGAGTTATTGCTAATGCATCAATCAGTATACTTGGGACAAAATAGGTGGTTTCCCGGTTCTGTGAAAACAATTATTCTCAAATGTCTACTCTTCCCTTCCCTGGGGAGAATGTTTTGTCCATTTTGTAAAATGGGGATCATCTCCTCAGCAGGAGTAAAAACAGAAAAGGAAGAAAGTGACTTAAAATGTCCTTGCAAAATGCAAAAAATAAAGACCTGGCCAGTGGCTCGTGCCTGTATCCCAGCACTTTGGGAGGCGAAGGCCAGAGGATCACTTGAAGCCAGCAGTTTCAGGCCAGCCTGGGCAACATACCAAGATCCCATCTCTACAAAAATAAAATTTTTTTATTTTCAATGCAAAAACTGTTATTTAACTCAACAGTATTGCTAAAAGGAGGGGCAATAAGTTAAATCAGAATTGCTTAGGCTAGGCCCATCCAGGAGTTGTGGAGGCCCTGGGGGTAAGACCACCATATATATCTACATAACTGTGTTATTCACCCTATGCAGTACTCCCTTGACGACAGAAGCACTCCCTCACAGAAGGAGCCGTCCACCTCCCAGAGCTTCCTTCCACAGTGCACCAAGGCAATGACTCAGCACAAAACCAACCACCAGGCCCCCCCACGTGCCCTCCTCCCCAACCCTGAACTAGTTTCAGCAATGGAGGAGAAAGAGCAGCCCTGGTGGGGTCACTGGAAGACGAGGCGCCAAGAACTCCTAGGTCTGGGAACCCATCAAACCCCCCTGCCAAGAAACCAAACCGCACACATAGGCCTTCAAAAGCATGGAGACTTGGAAGGTCTGATAGCCACTAAGCAGCTACAGACCTGAAGAGCAGGCTGGGGTACTCAGGTGCCCAATCTTAGGGTGATACCCTCGGGGTATGACTCCTCAGCTCAGCTTTTTCAGCAGGAACATGTTAAGAGGTGTCTCCTAGAGTCAAGATGACTCAAGGACATGAGAAAATAACCCAAGTATTACTGGGCACAGAGAAAAATCATCAATAAAGGCTTGTTTCCTTTGCCCTTCGTTAACCTTTATTCATGTGTTTCACAAGTATTTCTTAAGTACTTACTGCGGGAGGCACAGGAGAGTACAGCAATGAACAAAACAAAGACGCCCTGCCCTCTCGGAGTGTATATTCCAGGTTGCAGGATACAAGATAAACAAGTAAACAAAGACTTGGCTACTACTCAGGAAAAATGCTAATCTCTTATTCAGGAGCCATGACTAGTTTCTCCAGGATAACAGAGACAAACTTCAAGTAGCGGCAGTGGCATCATTAAACTATTTCACAATCCTAAGTATATGATATTGGTGCATGAGGGTGTCATTTAAAATGAGTTAACTGGTAGGAATCAACGCTAAAGAGATCCACACGTACCTAAAATGCTATGCTTTTCTTTTTTTTTTTTTTTTTTTTTTTTGAGACGGAGTCTCACTCTGTCGCCCAGGCTGGAGTGCAGTGGCGCAATCTCCGCTCATTGCAAGCTCCACCTCCCGGGTTCACGCCATTCTCCTGCCTCAGCCTCCCGTAGCTGGCACTACAGGCACCCACCACCACACCCAGCTAATGTTTTGTATTTTTAGTAGAGATAGGGTTTCACCATGTTAGCCAGGATGGTCTTAATCTCCTGATCTCGTGATCCGCCTGCCTCAGCTTCCCAAAGTGCTGGGATTACAGGCGTGAGCCACCGCGCCCGGCCTGCTATGCTTTTCTTAAAAGAAATCCACCATTCTTGCAAAGGGGATATCTAAATAAGGTAAAGAGTGTGTTTGCTTGGGGAGCAGAATCAAGATTTAAAAAAGAATAAAATGAGGGATATTGTCCTGATAATCTGGAAATCAGGGTTGCTAGAAAGAAAAGTGTTGCTCTATTCAATTATATTATTTTC
The DNA here is from genome assembly GCF_000001405.40 of Homo sapiens. Lineage (NCBI taxonomy): Eukaryota > Metazoa > Chordata > Mammalia > Primates > Hominidae > Homo > Homo sapiens. The sequence goes on along the minus strand of NC_000006.12, from coordinate 159,988,044 downwards.
TCTACTTGGATTTCATACTTGTTTTGTCAAGATTTATCAAATGTAAGTGGTTATGGGAGTAGGAAAGGAGGAGCCTATTAAAATACTTGAAACACTGACTTTTTTCAGGGGGGTGATTTAACCACTCAGCACAAGGCAGCCCTCCTCCAGGCCTGGCAACCTCAATGCCATTCAAACCCATCAGCAGCACTTGAGGCGAAGGCACCAATATCTCAGAGTTCTTAGTCACAGCTTTAAAATGAAGAATGGTCACAGCAGGTTTCTAAACTTCACTCCAAAGACACCTGCAAGCTGTCAGTACTTAAAACATTCTGATGTTTCAACGGACATTATGTCTCCTTTAAAACAAACTAATGGCAGGGCGTGGTGCCTCATGCCTGTAATCCCAGCACTTTGGGAGGCTGAGGCATGCAGATCACGAGGTCAGGAGATCAAGATCAGCCTGACCAGTATGGTGAAACTCCGTCTCTACTAAAAATACAAAAATTAGCCGGGCGTGGTGGTGCACGCCTATAGTCCCAGCTACTAGGGAGGCTGAGGCAGGAGTATCGCTTGAACCTGGGAGGTAGAGGTTGCAGTGAGCTGAGATTGTGCCACTGCACTCCAGCCTGGGCAACACAGCGAGACTCTGTCTCAAAAAGAAAAAACGAATATGCCTAGCCCCTAGTATCAACAGGAGCTCAGAAACAGTCATGTGGTTTAAATAATCTCTCTGAAAATTTATGAAGAATATTCCAAAAACTATTATGTACTCTGGTATGCACCCTGGTTAAACTATCACTAGATATGTTTCCACTAAAGTAAATATTTTTTAAAGACTATTTCATAATAAACTTGAAAATCGTATAAATAACTGACAACAAGTTTTAAGAAATCACATGTTTGAAACTAAAGGATTCTAAATTTCTTTTCAGATTAAAGGCCAAGCCCCTAGAATGGCCTAAGCTAAAATCATTCTTAAAATTAACTTGATATTAAAGTTTAAAAGCACCATGATCACATTATAGAACTAGAAAATGGTTTCAGAAGCAATAAAATTATTACAGACTAAATAAAATGTAATGATATCTTTGAGGAATAATAAATTTTTTGTCTGAAAGTTTGTCTGTTAGAAAATTCTCTACCTGAAGTGAACATGTACAGCCAGAATTAGGAAACTATTCCAAACAGTATGGTTCATTTAACAGCCAAGCAAATGAAACCATTCAGCTGAGATTCCCAGAAAAAGCCTACATTCTAGACTAAGTTATCTGAGCTTACACAAGTAAAGACTTAAGAAAAAAGCCAACAGAAAAAAAAAAAAAGAGATCAATATATTCAATCAAAGAGAAAACTAAGCTGTAACAGTAAGATGTTAAATGTTAGCAACAAACAAGCTTCTGGAAGAAAGTATCTGCAAGCTGTGTGGAAACACCGTCTTCACTCAAACACACACAAAAGAATGTGTTGAATACATTTTCTGAAAGAAAGAACTTCAGGCCATGCGCAGTGGCACATGCCTGTAATCACAGCACTTTGGGAGGCCAAGGTGGGAGGATCACTTGAGGTCAGGAGTTCGAGACCAGCCTGGCCAACATGGTGAAACCCTGAATCTACTTAAAAAAAAAAAAAAAACACACACACACACACACACACACACACAAAAATTAGCCAGGCATGGTCGCGCACGCTTATAGTCCCAACTACTCGGGAGGCTGAGGCACGAGAATAGCTTGAATCCAGGAGGTGGAGGTTGCAGTGAGCCGAGATCGCACCACTGCACTCCAGACTGGGTGACAGAGTGAGACTCCATCTCAAAAAAAAAAAAAAAAAGTTCTGCAGCAGGATAGGTAAGAAAGCCCAGTGAGCATTTTCCTGAAACTCTGTCAAGTCTTCTAAAAGTCACTGACTCTATGCTGTATTCCATCTCAACTGAAGGAAACCAGCGGGACACAGGAGAGGAGCGGGGAGAACTGCAAAGGCCCCCACAGAAGCGGCTTGTCCACTGGAAACAACCCAGGATCCCTGTCCGTTGTCCCAGTTGTACAAAATTCAGTGACCATCCTCAAGGGAGGCAGCCTGATTTTAGTTAAAATCACTCTTCTGGATGCAAAACCATCTTTCCAAGAACGCTGGTTCTTCAAAACCATCACTCTGGGACAGAAAATGTTCTAGAAAATCAGCAAAAATAAGTAAAATCTTTGCTATTCTATGTCATTTTTCAGAGCGTAAAACAGTTAGCCAATGGTCCCTCTCTCATTCTCAAAAAATCCAAATGCACTCCAAAGGCCAGCCTGACAGCTGGAGAGACACACATGTGCTGCAGCAGCTCCTCCAGACAGTGCTCCCCGGCTGAATCCACAGCTCCAGCACTAGCTGCCATGGCACTTCATACAGCTCAGTGGTGGCATTTTCTGAAGTGTCTGTTATCCCCAATGACACCGTCACTCTGGGACAGTAATGTCTTCCCTCCTGGAGCAATGACTGGCAGATGCAGGATCAGCATCTCTACTGATGGCTTGAGAAGGAAACTGGCCAGTGGCTAAGAACGCATGACAGCACGGCTCTCACCCACACAGCTAACATGTGAGCCAAATCTCCCCACAGAACGTGATGCCATTATCCAACCCTCCCAAGTTCCTCAGCTTTGAAGCCAAATATCCCAAGGCTCAGAATGAGGAACTTGCCCAACATCACGGAATTATAAAGTGAAGAATTAACCTAGGCGGTGTGAGGCCCACGGGTGAGTCCTTAACCAATTAGGTAAACGGCTTCATTTATTTTCCATTTAAAGAAATGGTTTTAACTTTTCAGAAAACATTTAGTTTCAGTTACAACACAAAAACTGGCAAAACATTCCACAAAACTTTAGTTTAAATCTTGTCACAATAAATGCCATTAAAAGGACAGACTCTGTATGGCATAAAGATCTCTGAGTTCCTATTATATTGCCAACCATCTACACAACTTGATTCAATAAAATGCTAGTCATATAGAAAAATTACAGTTATCCCTTCGCAGCACCTTGTAATCACAGATACAAGACCCCCAGTAGAGGCCTGGAACCAGGAATACGGTTTCGGATATGGTTTTTCCTTTACATACATACCCATGATTAAGTTTAATTTATAAATTAGTTGTAAAAGATTAACAACTAATAATAAAATAGCACAATTATAACTGTAATAAAAGGTATGTGAATGTGGCATCTCTCTCTCAAAATATCTTCATATTTTCAGACTGCAAGTGACCATGGGTAACTGAAACCTCAGGAAGTGTAACTGCTGATGGGGGGACTGGTTTATAGTCACTCACTTAATGGCGATACGTCATCAGAAATGTGTCATGAGGCAATTCTGTCACTGCTCAAACATCATCGAGTGTATCTGCACACACATAGATGGTGTCGCCTACTACAAACCTAGGCTATATGGTATGTCCTATTGTTCCCAGGCTACAAACCCACACAGCATGACGCTGCACTGAATACCCCAGGCAACTGTAACATGTGACACATATCTAAACGTAGAAAAGGTGCAGCAAAGATATGGTATAAAGGATTAAAATGGCACACTTGCCTAGGGCACTTATAATGAATGGAGCCTGCAGGACTGGAAGCGGCTCTGGGTGAGTCAGTGAGTGAGTGGACCTAAAGGCCTAGGACCTGACTGGACGCTTTCATAAGACTGGTAGCGCAGTGGGTTCGTTTACAGCAGTATTACCACAAACATGTGACTAATGCATTGTGCTACGACATTACAATGGCTACAGCATCACTAGGTGATAAGAATTGTTCAGCTTCATCCTAATCTTCTAGGACCAAGGTCATTTATGCAGACTGTAGTTTATGCAGTCCGTCATTGGCCAAAACGCTTCTCTTCTCGTTTTTAATGTCATGGATACTACTTATATCGTAAAGGCAGAATTCTCAGAATGGTTGAACCCATCTGAGGACAGCCTCTATGAAAAAGCTGTGAACTGTCTGAAGATTCAGACCACATCACATCATGCTGATCAACAGATCATATGCTTTTCCTTGCTCAACTTCTTCCCCAAGCTTAAACTTCTGCTACTCTATACTCCCAGTCCAGTTCTGCTTTCTCTTCTGCACAGTGTGAATTGCCAAACACCAGAGCATTGCCTTCCACAACCTCTCTTCCCATACCCAACTGGTTTCCATGGAAATAATATCAAGTCCCTCAGCCGGCTCCTTCCCACTGGCTGCACTGTCCTTGCTATTTCTATGTAAGCAGCTTGTGAACTCTACAAACAAGGTCCACATCTATATTGTCTTCCTCAACTCAGATGCACACTCTCCTTTAATGAGACTACTCAGCTCAGCAGAGTCCAACAGTGACACAACTCAGAAACATTCTACAATCAAACCATCAGGCCCAGCAGGAAACGGGGAGCAGCAGAAGTCAAATACAAGGCAAATGACTTTAGAAGATCTCTGCTTTTAAAGCAAAGTCTGTGGCAGAAACATACCCTATTTTTTTAATTTAACAAGGGCAATTAATTTAACCATATAAACCAAGCACACAGTCGGAATCTTTCCCATAAAGAAAGCTCAGATACTGTTTTGCTCCTGACTGTAATCTCACTGCTTCTGCTGAAACTATCCTGGAGAACTGCAGTCAGTCCACGCCTGTTCAGAAGTACAGAGGTTCCATTTTAACCTCATTTGCTTGAAATTTCATAATATCCTGAAAGGTGTTGGCAGATTACCAATTAGAAGGAAGCACACAAGTAACAGACTGTCAGCTGGTTAACCCAGAGACAGGAAGGTGTTTCTACTTTCCTGCTACTGTTCCAGCAAGGGCCGCAATCGAAACCCACCCTGGTCCAGACGAAACCAATCGAGGGGCTGCAATGAAGAAGTCAATGTAGCCCCAGGCCGACACAGCTGCCTAGAGTTCAAAAAGCTTAAAACAGAGATGCAGAGCCATCTCCACTGAGTGAGTTCTAAATGTCTGTCCAAAAATGAAAAATAAAAAATTCAAAATACAATGTCATAGGGATACAGATATAGAATATCTTTAAACTGACATTGGTATCTTAATATGACACCTCTCAGAGTTTTCATATATGCCATCACTCAATGCTTGCAAAACCACAATAGCTTGCAAGATGTAATTTGGAGTTCTTTCCTTTTAAAAACAGCTAGCATCTAAAGTATGTAAAATTCTATGATCAAAATATATGGTATGCTCAATCTCTTAAAGAAAATAAATCTTAGAAAACTGGGTTCCTTCCCTTCAACACAAAACATCTCCATGAAGTATCACTCTGTCCCTTCCTCATTTATTGCCATATATCCAAACTCTTTTAAAATATATCTTAGTTTCCTCAGTCCCTGTGAATCTTGGGGTTATGCTAATGGTCATGTAACTATTAAACATTTTACTACTGGCCTGCAATTAATAAAGCAAGATAAAGGCAGGATGGGATCAGTAATAATAAAAGTAGGCACGTGTGAATCTGTAATTTGGTTTCCTTAAAAGACAGAAACCCAGTTGGTGACACATAAGTGAAATTCACATAACAAGATACATGGTCACTAGCTAGAGAAATGTTTCTCTGAGTCTACAGCAAGCAACAAATCTAACATGTTGGAGACAAAGAGAATGTGAAGTGTTTCCAACCTGAACATCCAAAAAAGATTCTCCTACTTTCGACATGCACGCAAGTCCTCTAACAGAGTATTCAAGAAATCACCTGGCTCACTACTGTCCCTCAACAGTATCAGACAGTGTTTCAGCTCATACATATCCAGCACAGTCACCTTCAGAAATCCAGACCAGTCTCCTTAACTAAGGAGAAAGGGAAAAAACAGCAAGGAAGAGGAGCAAGGAGGCAGGGTTCCCACACTGGACCTTGGGAGCAGAATGTCAAGAGCCTAAGGTAACCACTGTCGTCAACAACTTGCTGTTGCCTACACTAAAAGAGAAACAATCTGATTTGCATGAAGACTCCTACCCCGAGCTGAAGGCTGGGGAAGCACGTGAGTTTGACACAGCATGGCCAGAGCTTATATAGGAAGTACTTCACTTCCTATTCTAACAAACCCACAAAGCTGTGGACAAAGATACAGGGCCGACAAATACAAATAAATAGAAGCAGGGAAATGCCAAACGTCAGCCTTTGGTTTTCCCTGAGAGGTATGCAGGGTCTGGAAGGAAGCCCGGTGTATGGAGAGGGATCCGGCTGGAAGCCCTAAGTCAAACACGACATCTAAGTTGATGTCAGAGCCCAGGGAACCAGGGCAGGCAATGGGGACTGCGTAACAGAGGTCACCTGGAATAGAGAGGGGGCACGCTACCCTAAGAAAGGTGCCATGAAGGGCCTGGGCCAGATTCCTGCCCCAGCGCTGACTAACAAGCTGTGTGAGCCAGTCTCTCCCAGCTCAACTTCCTCGACAAAACTCAGCTAGCCTACAAGGTCATTGTGAGGAGAAAACCACCACCAGGAACACAGAGCTATCGAAACAGACTATGATCTAAAGCTTTCATTTGAATCCAGAGAGAGAGTTGGACTGCTTAAAAACTAAGTTTACAAAAAAAGGTGAGTTGGCTGGGGGCGGGGGGTGCCCTCTGAAAGGAGTGTCACATGACACTGGCAAGGAACTGGAGGGAGAGACGGGCAGGCCCCTGTCCGGAGGCATCTCCTAGGAGCTGATGAAGACAGAGACACACGCACTCAGACAAACACACTCACACACACACACTCAGACACACACACTTGCACTCACAGACACTCAGACACACACACTTGCACTCACACACTCGTGCACTCACACACGCACTCACGCACACATACACACTCAACTGCCTCCTGGGACCTCTCAGGACAAGGATGCCACTCTGGCCTGCCCGCCCTGCACCATCCACAACAGAGACAGGTGAGTCCAGAGCTTCCAGCAGAAGAGCAGCAGGGGAAACAGAACAAGGGCAAACACACCAGGGTGTGGCGTTCCCAGGAGGTGGGCAAGTGCCCTCCACAACAGAAAGCTACCACAAAAATGGCTGGTCCTCTCTGCTATCCTTGGCTCAGATCAACTCAACAGTACAGGATGCAGGCCAGTATTTCAACCCTAAACCCTGCTCCGTGATGATTTTCTTCCAATCAGAGCAATTACCTGGGCGGTCTCATACTTTGCTCCTCATGTATAAAGAAGAGTTGTAGATGGGCTAAACTCCCTGCTTTGCCATGTGGATGTCTGAGGCCAACCGCCTTTAAGGACAATCCAGCCCCCAGCGCAGAATTCAGACCTTAATGTTCAGCCCCCTACTCTCCCTGTCACCAAGGTCCCAGAAAACCCTCCCAGACCCAGGGCCCTTCCTGGAGTGTGCAAACTACAAGGGAAGGTGGGCCTTTCTAGAAAACCTGCGGGCTGTCAGCTCAGCTGGCTGGCCCATGATGCTAATGAGGCCACCGCCAGGTGGTGGTTCCTCACAAAGGCCAATCAGGTGGACAGAGGAGAAAAGCCCCTGCTTTGAAGATGCTGGAGCCAAACATCAGACAGCAGAGGCTCCGCAAAGCCTAACACCCAGCTGGGGCTGCCCCTCTCCACCTTCTTACAGACTCAGAATGGACAGCCTAGGGAGGTCCCAGTGAGGTCCGTGACCTTGTCTCTGATCACAAATTCACAAAGTGGCCAAGCCCATGTTAGAAAGAAGCCTGTCCTGCTCCAGAGCTCATGCTATCTCCATCGCAGCCTAAAGGCAACCTGAAGAGGAAAAGCAGCTACCATGCTCAACTGCAACCCTCACCTAGGGATCTCATAGTTCCCTAAGGCAATCCAAGCAATCGAATCTTCCATGTACCTTTCTTTCTTTCTTTCTTTCTTTCTTTCTTTCTTTCTTTCTTTCTTTCTTTCTTTTTTGAGACGGAGTCTCACTGTGTTGCCCAGGCTGGAGTGCAGCGGTGCGATCTCAGCTCACTGCAAGCTCCGCCTCCCGGGTTCACACCATTCTCCTGCCACAGCCTCCCGAGTAGCTGGGACTACAGGCGCCCGCCACCGCGCCCATCTAAGATTTTTTGTATTTTTAGTAGAGACAGGGTTTCACCGTGGTCTCGATCTCCTGACCTCGTGATCCACCCGCCTCGGCCTCCCAAAGTGCTGGGATTACAGGCATGAGCCACAGCACCGGCCCATGTGCCTTTCAATCCACCAATCTACTGAAGTCCTCAAGGGCTCTGGCTTTTACCCAGAGGGAGCCCAAAGTCCCACAGCCTCTGTGATCTGGCCACAGCTAATCCTCCGTGCTCTCTGGCCCCTCCCTCCATTCTCCCAATGGCTCAGCCCACCCAGACACACTGGGCCCTTAGCTGCCTCTCAACCAAGTCAGACATGCTTCCCGCTGGGTCTGACATGCAGGCCCCCCACCAGGGTGCCTGGTTCACTCGCTCACTTCCAGCCTTTTACAGAAAGGCCTGGTGACAGCGGACTCTCCAATAAAACAGCCCCATCCTCAGGGCCCAACCCCCGACTCTGCCACCAGCTCTCCTCTCCCTCCGCATGTCCAGCAAAGTCAAGGCCATGAGCTCACGCTGCCTGTCACTCTAAAGGGGTGACTGTAAAAAGAGACAAAAGAGAAGAGAGAAGTGCTGGTATAACTGACGCTTCGAGAGCAGAGAGCAGGTGGAGGCAGGGTGCCTCAGGGGAACAATGAGGGTGACTCACTGGAGTCTCAGGCTTGCCACTTCTAGGAAACTCACTACTTTAGCACTTCTATTCTGGTGGCTTGGCACTCTATTTGCAGGCCAGGGTGGGGCGCAGGGAGTGTTGGGGGAGTTTTTTCAGTACTAAACAGCTGTTTTAAAATGTATAACTGATTCTGGAGTACAGATAACCATGCAGATAGCAACAAGTTAATTTTGCACACACTCAAAATCCAATGGTGGGTCCGCTCTGAAGGAGCTCTCTCCTCCCAGCACACAGCAGGCATGAAGAAGGTGGCAGCCCTAACAGCAAGACCCTCCTGGCCTTCCCTCTAGGCCATAGCCCACAGGCAACTCAACTGCAAAGGCCAGTTTTTGCTGTCACACACTCCTGAAAACAGAGCTCGGGCCAGTACTTCCACCATCCCCCTCACTTCCTACACCTCTCCCAGTGAAGGACGACACTCCTAGGATCTGCTTCCTCTTCCTGGACAACTTGCCCTCCAGATGTACTGAATAATGGTTGCCCCCAGGGGATCGAAAAGCACACAAAAGGAAAAAGAAAACTCCTACCAAAGGTCTGCAGCTGGCTGAACGGCCAGGTTCACAGAGCACCTGGGATTTTCCCCACCCTGGAGGAGTCACAGGAAAGTGCCCCTCTGCCCTGGCTAACACGGAGACAAAAATAGGCTTATGACGCATTGCTTTGGGCACCTCGAAAACCTAAACGACCGTACTTTTTTTTTTTAAGTTGCACAGCAAGGTGGAATTTATGAAGCACTTTCACATCCAAGCCACTGGCCTGGACACTTCTGTTCCCACCTACAACAGCACCCATTCCTCCACCCTCCAGGGAGGCCTGGAGAGGCCTAAGTGAGGACAGGACCCCCTTGACCATGTGCAGAAGTTAGCTGAGACTTCCTGATCCTACCACAGGGAAACAGGGAGGACGGCTCTTCTTGCCCTGGAACCACGACAGCCCCCTTTCTCCCAGCCTAGCCTGGGACCAAGCCACCACATGCAGGAGGGTGACCCCCGGCCCCCATCCAAACTCCACACCTCGAATTATCAAGCTCCTCATTGTTTGGGGGAATCTGAGTGAGGAAGGACTCCTCAAGGCTGCAAACCTCAGAACTGCAGAATTTGGGATGCAAAATGGACCCGGAAATCACGGAGTCCAGTGGCTTTGAAACTTTTTTAAACAGTGGAAACCTTTCTTTCTCATGAGGAAGCTTACGTGGAGTGCCAATCATGAAACAGATGAAGAAGAAATGCTCTCTGGTTGAGGCAGAAACCCCAAGACACTAATGGAGAGCTCTGGGAGGGCGAGAAACAGGTTATAAAAATAAATCCCTGATGTAAGGCAGCATCTGTAACTTACAGATAAAGCAACTGCTACCACTACAGCACCAATGAACACCGAGGACGTGCCAGGCATTCAAATGTCTTCCAATTCCCACACCTAGCCTACAACACGGTTAGCATCCCACGCCTAGCCTACAACACGGTTAGCATCCCACGCCTAGCCTACAACACGGTTAGCATCCCACGCCTAGCCTACAACACGGTTAGCATCCCACGCCTAGCCTACAAACATGGTTAGCATCCTGACTGGACACACACGGAAAGGAAGACTTCAGAGGTTCTGTGACTTGCCCAAGGCCTGTGAGGGGAGGAGTCTGGATTCAAGCCCAGGAAAGTGACTTCCAAAACTAACTCCCTAATGAGAGGTTTTCAAATAGGAAAGAGAGAAAGAAAACTAAGTCCCACCCCTCTTGAGGAGGAAAATGAGGTCCAGAGAAAAGAAGTGATTGGACACAGCCAACTCAACAATCCAGATCCCCCGTCTCAGGCCACACGCTGCCAGCAGCAATCAACAGGGGTTTAGCAGCTGTGTCTTGGCAGAACAGCGCTTGGGGGTGACATTGGGAGGGTGGAAAGGACCTAAAGCGCCAAGAACAGCCACAGAGGCACATCCTGCCCATCCCCTAGTCTCCCTGAAAACAATTTACAGCCAAATTCCAACAACTGCTCCCAGCCCTACCCCACGCAGCTGCACAAGGAGGCAGCCAAGGTCGGGTGGAGACCCACTGCAGAGTGCACGGTCAGGAGTCACCTGTCACTGCAAGGGCACCAGCACCATGCAATCATGGTGACAAACTCAAACCAAAGAAACTGGGCCCAAGGAAAAATAATTAATAGAGCAATCAGAGCAGAACTTTAAGAGAGATCTTCAGAGGGTTGACAGAAGCTACAGCGTCCACGCAGAAAGAACAGGCAGCTGTGACTACACATCAGCTGAGATTCTGCAACAAAAGACAACAGGGAAGCAGAAGAACATCTGAACCATGGGAGAACTGGTAAGCTGGGCGACAGCAGCAAACGACATCCAGCTACATGCCTGTCCACAGCGGCAGCCAGATACAAATAATAAAAGCAACAGACAAACCGAAGAAGAGTTAGGGCAAAGAAAAGCTGAACAGCACCATGAGTAACTTTGACCCAAACAGAGAACTTTTTTTCCAAACACATAATACCCTCCCAACTTGACTAGGTGTTAGGCCACAAGGGAAATGTCAGTAAGTTCCACCACATTTACCCGCACAATGGAAAAAATAAATTTAAAACCCCCAAAGTCCATGGACCTGAAAAAAATAAAAATCTAAAAATTTAGTGGGTCCAGGAAGTTGAAACAGATAGAACTTTTGAATCCAAAAAGGGAATACACAAAATTGAAATATGGAGAAAAAAAAAAGTATCAGAATCTATGAGTGGTATGGTACTCCGAAGAAAGAAACATGAAGCTTTAAATATATTTCTTAATTATGCAAAATGATTTAAAATAAAAGAGCTAAGCATTCAAGTCAAACGAGAAACAGAAAAATGATGTAGAAGTTACTGAGTGGATAAATTAATAAAATTGCAAATAAAAGGTGAAAAGATGAAAAAACAAAACACTAGTTCTTTTGGAAAGACTTTAAAAAGGTAAATAAGTCTTTAGTAAATATAATTAAGAAAAAAGTACACAAGTAAACATCAGGAATTTTAAAAATTTACCTAGAGCTATAGAGTATCAAAAATATGAGAGTAGCATGCTACTTATTAAATATGAATACACAATTAAAATGACAATTTTCTAGGAAAATAGAGATTACCAAAATTGGCCCAAGAAAAAGTAGAAAATCTGAATAGAAAAATAAACTAGATAAAACTGAAAATAAAACTAGAAAAAACCATAATCAAAAGTCCTCCCCGATGATATTCCACCTAAGAGCCTGCCAGGGCCAGATAGTTTTACTGGTGAATTCTACCAAACTTTAAGAAACAGAAAATGTCCATCTTATATACAAACTGTTTCACCACATACAAAAATACTAAAAGCTAACTAGCTCCTTCCACAAAGCAAACATATTATTAATAACAAAATCCATCAAGAACAGCAGAGCAAAAAAACTGTAGCCCAATCTCACTTAAAAACAGAGCTGTAAGCATATTTCATAAAGTATTAGTAAACAGAACTAGATATATTCATGGAAATAAATAAACTTTTACCCTTTTTGTGGTGTTATTTATATATGTGCGTGTGTATATATTATATATAACTATATATTATATATTATATATAATACATATATAATATACACTATAATATATATATAATAAATATGCTTATATAATATATACACAATACATATACTTTATATATATATATATATAAATATATATAATACATGTATGGGTTTTTTTTTCCCATCTGGTTTCTGGCTGCCAACTTCCACAGTCCTAGTATTGGTCTTTTGTTATAATGTTGGGTGTGTCAGGCCTCAGGAAACAATCTCTCCACCTGCCCCTCCTTCCACCTGCCCCAAGGTAGGACTCTCATCTTCCCTGCTTTTGGACTGTGGGTCTTAAGATCCTCCCCAGTGAGGGTCCCACCCTATACCCGGGAGAAGAAATGCTGACCTCCTGAAGCTTCCATAAAAACTGGGTTGGGGGAGCTTCCAAATAGTTGAATGCACGGCAATTCCTGGAGGGTAGTGAGCCAGGGAGGTCACAGAGGCTCCGCACCCCTTCCCCAATACCTCGCCCTAAACATCTCTTCATCCGTATCCCTTGTAATATCCTCATAAACTGCTAATCATCAGTGTTTTCCTGAGTTCTGTAAGTCACTCTAGCAAATTAATCAGACCCAAAGAGGCACTCTGGGAACCCCAAATTGAAGCCAGTTGGTCAGAAGTTCCAGAGGCCCGGACTTGTGACTGGTGTGGGGTGGGGAGCGGTCTCGGGAACTGAGCCCCAAACCTGTGGCATCTGACACTATCTCCAGGTAGACAGGGTCAGGAATTGAATTGGCCAGGGGTCACTGCTTGGTGCCTGGGGAAAAACGACCACACATTTGATTACGGAGGTCTTCTGTGTTGATGACTGTTCATGGAATGAGAGCAAAGGAAAAATATGGTTTGAGTTTTCTTCAAACATCATATATAAAAATTAAACCACAAAAATTGATCCTAGAGTTAAGGAATCAAAGTTAAAACCAAAAAACTTCTAGAGGCAGAGACAGGAGAAAATCTTTGAGACCTTGGGGTAGGCCAGTGGTTCTCAATTGGATGTGATTTTGCCCCCTCCCCTCCAGGGCCTTTGATATGCCTGGAGACATTTTTATTTGTTACCACTGGGGGAGGGGGAGTGGTAGAGTATAGTCTTAGCATCTAGTGAGTAGAGGCCAGGAATGCTGGCTGACATCCTACAATGCCCAGGATAGCCCTCCAAACAAAAAATTACCCAGGTCAAATGTCACTAGTTTTAAGGTTGATTTCTCAAGCTACCAAAAGCACAAACCATAAAAAGTTATAGTCCATCAAATTTTTTTAAATCTGTTCTTCAAAGGATATCACTGAGAAAATTTAAAGGCAAGGCAAAGACTGAAAGAAAACACTCATACCTCACACATATCTAAGAAAGAACTTGTACCCAGAAGACATGAGGAGCTCCTAAAGCTCAATAAGGAGAAGAACCCAAAAACAATTTTTAAGGGGTAAAAGGGACAAAATATGATTTTTAAAGGACACTACAAAAAATACCCAGTCAGTAAGCACATGATAATGGTGAACATCATCCAGGATTCCAATAAATACAAGAAAAGATGTTCCTTTCTTGCTCAACATCATGAGTCAGCAGAGAGATGAAAGCTGAAACCACACTGAGATACCATTACAACTCCACTTGAATGGCTAAACCTAACACTGACAGGTGTTGACAAGGATATAGAACTGGAACTCTCATACATCACTGGTGGAAATGCAAAATTGTAATTCGGCATTACAGTCTGGTGGGTCCCATGAAGTCAAACAGCTGCTACGCCCACCTCCTCATACACCATTCATGACCAGTTACAACATTAGCAAGAGCTCTCTGTGGCTAGGACAATCCAAAGAAGAAAAGGAGGAAGAAAAAGAACAGCACCTGCAAAGTGATAAGCTACTCTCTGCCACTAGGCTCAGTTCTAGAGCCTGCTCAGTTCTTTCCCCAATACAATAGTTTATATACCAAGATCAAAATAGGGAAGGGAACATCTCAATTATTTCTCTCAGCCCCATCTTTTAAAAATCCCTCTCTCTATGAAATGCTGACAAAAGACGTGAGGCCCAACGCAGGCATTCATTTCCTGGGAATCTGTCAGGATGCTGTTCTGAGAATTAATCCATGAGATCTAATGTAACCATAATTAACAACCTTAGGCTTCCACATACACTTACTGTTGAAATGCACACACACAAATGGATGTGATCCAGGTTTAACATGTGGCCCAAATTAGGCATATAAGCACTGTTCCTTTGGAAAAATTACAGGGAAAAAAAAATCTCCTTAGAGACAGTAACTAAACCAACCTCAACTCCCAGCTGGCTTCATTATTCTCTTGTCCTCAATATAATAAAAACTTTCTAGCATTTATACCTAAACAATTTGGGGAAAACTTGTCCTGTACAAATTTTGAAGCTCTTAACTACCTTAAATCTAACCATCCCAAAGCATTATTTTATCATTAATGCACACTGCTAAGACCTCACCCATTAAGCATCTTGTTAACACCTAACTAAAGGGTGGAAACTTGCATATTACATATATAATATGACATTTTACAAAGTTTAAAGCATATGGTAATAAGTAAAGCCACTGACAAGCTGAGATCACTTTAGACACTGTTGTTGGTTTTGCATGGCCTGGCCTCTGCTCCTCTCCTCCTGAATGCCCTCTCTTCTTGCTCTACTATTCCCGCCCTCCACTGACCTTCAACACTCCTTCCTGCCCCAGGTCTTTTCTACAGGCCAGTCCCACAGCCTATCACACTAGCCTCAGAAACAAGTTTTCTACTAACTTTGTACTAGCAATATCACCTCCCAAGAAATACCTGCATAAGAATCATTAACTTCTAACTCAGCACTGGGACCACCTGGCAAGTAATCCACTTGACACTTGAAAAATGCTTTGCTGAGTCTCTCCAAAAAAAACCATGCACTTATTTAAAGCGCTGCTTCAAGCCAGATACACTTTGGGAAATGAGCCTTTGTCGTGCCTGCTGTTCAATGCACAACTCAGAGGGCAGGCCCCTCCACGTGCACGGACACAGTTAAAGCTGCTGCTGAAATGGTGCTGTCTCCTTCGTTCCTCCCAATAACTAACTGCACCAGGAACCGCACCCCATCCCAGGAGTGCTCAGAGCCAAAGGTCACCTTGAAGCTTTGCCCCCACAAGGTGCCTCGCAGGCACCCCTGAAGCAGGCCCTCATGTCCCTCTTGTGGGTCTAAGCGACTGCAGATGAAAAATATTCTCTCTAGGTTCTAGAGAGCTGGGCTTGGGAGGAGAGGTAGTTTTCCTGGAAATCCAACTCCATCTTTTAGAGACAATGAGAATTTACGGCTAGGATTCTGTTAAAGCCATATGGTGTCTGGGTGCTCCAAAACCTTTGCAAGGATAATGACTTTCTGGGGGCCATACAATGAACAAGAATACTATCAATGGAAAAACACATTCCACGTATGAAATTACCAATTTACAAACATTTGGAATGTGATCCTTCTGTACATTTGGGACTGCCTCCATGTGACCAAGCAGCAAAAACAAACGGGGACATTTGTAGGACTCGACTTTTCATGCTCACAGTGGAGACCTGGCCGAGTTATTTACATTTCAGCAAACTGATGCCCAGGAACAAAATTAAAATGGAGCTTAACACGTCACACCTTGGTGACACGATAAAATTTTTTGTATCAAATTAAAAAAAAAATCAACTTACATTCCTATTCCTCAACTACATGCTACATTTACGGAAATTTTAGCCAGTTTTATCTCATAAAAGTACAGATGACTGATAACCTCCCCCGCCCCAAGAAAAGTTTTCAAAAAGTATTTAAGGAGAGGTATCAGTTTAAAACAGGAACATAAACCCAGCATGGTGCCTCATGCCTGTAATCCCAACACTTTGGGAGGCTGACGCAGGAAGATTACTTGAGGATAGGAGCTTGAGGCCAGCCTGGGCAACATAGCAAGACGTCATCTCTATTAAAAATTTTAAAAAATATATAATAAGCCAAGTGGGGTGGCACACACCTGTAATCCCAGCTACACAGAAGGGTGAGGTGGAAGGACTGCCTGAGCCCAGGAGTTCACGACTGTAGTGAGCTATGACTGCACCACTGCACTTCTGCCTGGGCAACGCGGTGAGACCCTGCCTCAAAAAATTATAAAACAGGAACAGACAGGAAGTTCACTTGGCACATGTTGGGTTTAAAGTAGAGATTGCAAGTGGTTCTGGAGAAGTCTGCATGTGCAACTACAGGGAAGTAACAGGGAAAGAGGTGGGTGAAAATCCGTCTCTGAAATGATTGGCAGATTTGTCATCCTAAGAAAATCTGGCAGAAAAATTAAACACAACTTTTAAGATATTCTAAGACTACAAAGGGCAGATCTTATTATATTCACAATGCATATCAACCTCAGAAACCTCTTCAGCATTTGCTAAGTATGCCCACGTGTGACAGTGGCCAGAAAAACGTAAAGATACAAAGGCCATTCCTACTAGACCAAGAGGCCGTGTTCCACCTGGAGATGAAGTTCGTGAACACAGGTTCAAGACACTGCCATGACTAACCTAATGCAAAAGTAAGGGTCCCATCAATCAGCCAAAGTATCAGTCTGCCCTTGAAGCCACCTTAATCTTAACTGTGAAGAAAACAAACTTCAATTTGTTAACAAGACCAAGACTTCAACCACACTAGGCCAGCTGGGTTAATTTCTTATTGTATTTATTTATTTATTTTTGAGACAGGGCCTTGCTCTGTCGCCCAGACTAGAGTGCAACTCGACTCGATCACAACTCACTGCAACCTCGACCTGCGGGGCTAACGTTATCCTACCACCTCAGCCTCCCTTAACTGGGAGGACAGGAGTGTGCCACCGCGCCCGGCTCTAATTTTCATATTTTTTGTAGAGACGGGGTTTCGCCATGTTGCTGAAGCTGGCCTCCAACTCCTGGACTCAAGTGACCCGCCCACCTCGGCCTTCCAAAGTGCTGGATTCCGGGCATGAGCCACCGCGCCCAGGCGAGTTAATTTCTTATTTTTGGTCACAGAAGCCATTATTCCAAAATGCCTTCCTCTAAATGTTGTTCTCAGCCTGACCTCGTTTAAGCTGCCACCATTTCTCTGTATCATACTAGTTACTGGAGTAACTATGTATCTTAGGGTAGCTAACTGGTCTTTAAACTAGTGTCACAAACTCTCCCTCCATCCACCCTTCCCCTTCCAAAAAAGGGAGCATAAAAAATATGGGCCTTTCCAAAGAGTTTCTATCGTGAGATCAGCCTCACCCTCCTTAGACTAATTTCTGCATGTTCTGAACACAGGGGTGCTAATAAAACTATCTCTGATGCATGGGAAAAATAAGAACCCCCCCCATAAACCCTACCACAAACTCCAAGTTCAGCCCAAAGTAGGCTCAACTTTGTTTCACTCTGAAAAGTAACTTGTAAAAGTAACTTGTAAAAGTAACAGTAACAGGGAGAAACTGTTGTCTGTTCAAAACTTTTCATCCTGCTTCCTTTTTACCAAAGTTTAAAAAAATAAACAAAAGCTGAATTTTCCATCATCCTAAACAGTCCAGAAAAGGATGGTCAGAAAATTCCTGAAATTCGAAGTTCCCCAGGCCCTGGACTGCTAGCAGTTGCGCGAGGTGAACAGCCCTCGATGGGACTGATGGGTTATACAATCATGGTTCCCAGAGCAAGATCCACTAGAATAATCCGCCCCGGAGACAATGACATCATGTGAGCAACCAGGCAGGAAGTTGGGCTCAGAGAAGTGAAGGGTCAAGTCTTGAAAGCTCACACTGGACGACACCCCCTGCCCCCAATCTAAAGAAGACAAAAGTCACCGCCTGCTAAAAATATATATATATATATATTCTTTAAAGAGAAAATGAGCCCACGGGGGGAAATCAATCAGCAAATGAAACCACAAACACTCAACTCCAGGACCATTCCTGCGGGCTCCAACGCCCCGGTGAGCCTCTCCACACCGAGGGGCCTCACCGGTGCCCCGCTGGCGAAACTCTGATGCAAACGCGCAGCGGGAACAAAGCAAACTGGAGTTCCTGCCTCCAACTTTCCCGGACGCCCGGCCGCGCGAGGGCAGGCGCCGACCCCAAGGGCCGGGGCGACCGCTCCGCACAAAGCCACCCCCGACTCAGCGACAGCCACAAGTGGCCGGACGCGGGGCTCCAGGACCGCCACGACCGCGTGTGCCCCCGCGCCCCCCGCCTGCGCACGGGACCCGGCGGGACTCGCGGACACCACGCAGGCAACTTTCCCTCGGGAACGGGGCGGACCCCGGCGCGGAACGGAGGCGACTTGGAGACCCCAGGAGCTCCTCGAGCGCTCCCCGCCCCCCACGCCGGCCGCTCACCCCGGGCACCGCGAGCGGAGCCTGCGTCCGGGCGGGCCACCCACCTGCACAGCTCGGGGAACGGGGCGGCCTGGGCCTGCGTGGACCCCGGGGCAGCGACGAGCAGCAGCAGCTGCAGCAGGAGCAGAGAGCGCTGCGGGCGGCGGGCGGGCGCGGGCCCCAGGTGGGGGCTCCGGCCGGCGGCGGCCCCCATCGCGCCGGGCCCGGACTGCGCGGCGGGCGCGAGGCTAACGGCGCGCGACTGCTGGGGGCCGCGCCCGGGACGGGGTCGCGCCGCCAGGGCAAAGGCGGAGGTGGAGACGGAGCGGGAGCCCGAGGTGAGCGCGGCTCGACTGGGCTCGGCGACAGCGACAGCGGCAGCGGCGGCCCCGGAACCGCGTCACGTGACAGCCGCCCGGCACCGCCCCCCCACCCCCGCCCCCCGCTCACGTGACTCCCTTGTTCAGGTGACCCCCGCCCGCCCCGGCTCCTCCCAGGCCCGGGTCACGTGAGCGCAGCGCGCGGGACAGGAAGCGGCGCGGGCGGGGCGCAGGCTCCAGGTGCCTCCCGGGGCCTGAGCCTCTCGGCGGGCTGGGCGCGGCGGGGGTGCCTAGCCGGGCCTCAGTTTCCCCTCCCACCGCGCCCTGCTGGATCGTGGCGGGTGCTTCCCAGGTTAGAGCAACTGTTCCCAACCTCGATCGACCAGTAGGGGAAAATAGGGAACTTGGATCAAAGTGCCAGGGAGGTAAATGCCTTCGCACAGCCTAGTGGCAGCGGATCCGTGGGGGGTGGGAACACACTTTAACTGCCCGTGGAGTCAAATCATGGGGGTTTACAACCTTGGCCCGTCAGAGCCTCTCAGACCTTCTGTGGGAATGTTATTTCCCAAGCGTGGGCTTCCTACAGCAAGGAAGGCAGCACAAATCCAGCAAGGTGAAAGAGTGGACAAAAGTGTCGCTGTCAAGCAAGTGCCACTCAACAAAGCTTTATTAATTCACTACGTGGATGGCCATGAGCTAGCCACAATGAAAGTAGAACGATGAATCTAAAAGTCTTGAACTAAAAAAATTCACTTTCTTTTAGAGTAAATATACAAAATAATCATGACTGAAAATAGTAATCATCATCATCATAAAAGCTCATCTTTTTTAGTGCTTATTCCATACCAGACACTGCTAAGCATGTAAGCATGAATCTTTAAAAACCTATGAGATGGGAACCTACTTATAGATGAGGAATTGAGGCACAAGGATACTCAGTGACTTACTCAAAGACACTCTGGGATGTGGCAAAGCTGGAATTCAAACACATATAAATAATCATGACCCAATAATAGCTAACATTTCTTGAGCAAGTAATTATGTACGAAGTACTGAAGTGTTCGGACACTGTGATTTAGCTCATTTAATCCTAACAGTCCTGTAAGAGGGGGTGCCTTTATTGCATCCGTTTTGCAGATAAGGAAAGTGAGGAATGGAGAAATTAAATAACTAGTTAGTCTTGCAGCTAGTAAGTGAAAAAGCCCGGGTTTGAGCCCAAGCCAGTCACAGGCCTGTGACATAACCACCGTGCTATTAATATATTGCCCAAGAAAAGAAAGTGTTGTAGTGGGTCAAAGGGAGAGCTCAGGTGTAAACTGTGGACGTCGAAAAAGGGTTTGTGGTGACCGGGCGCGGTGGCTCGCGACTGTAAACCCAGCACTTTGGGAGGCCAAGGCGGGCGGATCACAAGGTCAGGAGATCGAGACCATCCTGGCTAACACAGTGAAATCCCATCTCTACTAAAAATACAAAAAATTAACCGGGCGTGGTGGCACACGCCTGTAGTCCCAGCTACTCGGGAGGCTGAGGCAGGAGAATCGCTTGAACCCAGGAGGCAGAGGTTGCAGTGAGCAGAGATCGTGCCACTGCACTCCAGCCTGGGAAACAGAGCGAGATTCCATCTCAAAAAAAAAAAAAAAGAAAAAGGGTTTGTGTTTTGCAACTCCAGTGTTATAATGGATACAGGCAAAGACCATCAGTAAATACTAAAACCATCTGGTGAAAAATTATTGTGAAGCGGAATATTCTCTTTGTCTCAAAGTATCACCTTCAAAGTATACTTCCTTAAAAAACACAAAATACCTCTTCACAATGGAAAGATCTGGTAGAACCACCTTAATCAAGTAATTAAAACTAGTATCACCAATTTTTAAAAAACTAGCATTTTCTGCTTTCTAAAGTGATGCAATAAAAAATGCTAAAGGGTAATATTTAAAAGATGGTATAATCATGACTCAGATGTAGAATGAACATGTATCAAAGGTATTCCTTAGCTCATTCATTAATGTGAGAACCGGTAACATGTCACAGCTGGTTCAAAGGAAAATCCAAGGAGAATCCAACAAATATTCAAGCAGTTAGGAATGCTGAAATAAGGTTGTCTATAGATGGAAAATTGGTCAGTAACCATAGGTCAAAAAACAGCTGCGTACGCAATAGACACAATTTGCATTTCTAAAGACAAAAATCGTGTATATTACCATCAGTAGTCTACAATTTACAGAGTTGTAAAATACCTCAAAGACAGTGGCAGACACAAGACCCCATAGAATCAGATAACCCAAAAGACTGTACTAAACAGCTAGCATTCCATTACAGTTGACCACTAATATTTTTGGTCCATTTCAAAGTCTTTCACAGTTATTCCCTACCGTACACACTATCACAAGTAGTCTTGCCAAGAAGTTCAACTTAATCTAATTGAGATAAAACAATCAAATTCAAACTGTGAAACATATGACAAGAAAACTGAACTGGACTATTGCAAAATATTAATGCGCTGAAAAAACAACTCTCCTCCAAAAAAAAAAAGAGAAAAAAAGTGGAAGTGCTACTCTAAATCCATGTAGCAAGCAATAACCTGTGGGTCAAATGTGGTAAGGCAGCTGTTTTGTAAATAAAGTTTTGTGGGAATACGGCCACACCCATGTGTTTATGTATTATCTAGGGCTGCTTTTGCCTGCAATGACACAGTTGAGTCGTTGCAACAGAGACTGTATGACCTGAAAATGCTAACATATTTTACCATATGGCCCTCCGCAGAAAAAGCTTGCCAACCTCTGTTCTAGATCAGTGGTTTTCAAAAGTGCGGTCCTTAGACAAGCAACTTTTGTGTCACCTACCAGCTTGTTAGAAATGCCATTTCATGGGTCCTGCCTCAACCTATTGAATGAAAATCTCTGGAGATGGGCACCAGGAGATTGCTCTAGCAAGCTCTCCAGGAGATTCTCATACACATGGAAGTTTGGCACCGGGAGATTGCTCTAGCAAGCTCTCCAGGAGATTCTCATACACGTGGAAGTTTGGCACCAGGAGATTGCTCTAGCAAGCTCTCCAGGAGATTCTCATAAACGTGGAAGTTTGGCACCAGGAGATTGCTCTAGCAAGCTCTCCAGGAGATTCTCATACACATGGAAGTTTGAGAACCATTGTCCTAAATTAAAGGAGACTAAAAAGGCATGACAAAATGCAATGCGTGATTCTTACTTGGAGCCTAGACCCAAAAATAGGAAGGTATAAGGGACATTTGGAGACCACTGGAAAATTTTTAATGTAAATCCTATATAAGGGACTTTAAAGCAGCAGTCCCCAACCTTTTGGCACCAGGCACCAATTTCGTGGAAGACAATTTTTCCATGGATGGTGGAGGGCTGTTGTGGGGGATGTTTCATCAGGCATCACAAGGACAGTCCACCCTAGACCCCTCTCATGCACAATAGGGTTTGCACCACCACTTATCTGACAGGAGGCGGAGCTCAGCGGTAATGCCCTCGTTCTCCTGCTGTGCGGCCAGGTTCCTAACAGGCCACAGACCAGTACAAGTCCATGGCCCGGAGGGTTGGGGGACTCCTGCTGTAAAGTCAAATACTGCAGGGCATAATTCTCCTGTATTTCATTTAAATTTTCTGAAAAACCTTTGAGGAAGCAGAGACTCACAGATATCAGCCTAAGACCCCCTGTTATAGGCTGAATTGTGTCCCCTAAAAGAATACGTTGAACTCATAACCCCCAGTACTTCAAGTGTGACCTTATTTGAAAATAGGGTCATTCCTTATGGATAAATTATGATGAGGTTATACTAGAGTAGGGTGGGTTCTTAATCCAGTATGACTGGTGTACTTTCAAGAAGTGGGCAAGAAACACACAAGGAGAAGGCAGCCATATGAGAATGGAGGTGCTATGCATCTACAAGCCAAGGAACACCAAGGATTGCCAGCAACACCAGAAGCTGGGACAAAGGCATGGAACAGATTCTCCCCTAGAGCCTTCAGAGGGAGCGTGACCCTGCCAATGCCTTGGTTTTGGACTTCCGGCCTCCAGAACTGTGTGAGACAATTTCTGTCATTTTAAGCCACCCAGAGGTACTTTGTTATGGCAGCCTAAGAACACAAATAGCCAAGAACACAAATGTCCCTCAAATGATAGGACAGATCCAGGCTTGGCATCCAGGTGCTCCAACCACCGCCCTGTTGTGAGGACCCAATCTTCCTGCATCTGACTTTGGAAACACAAGCTCAAATGACAGACCAAGGGCAGAAAGAGCAGCTACTGAGGATGTCCCTGCATGATGTCAAGAGCAATAGCAGGGACAGGTAACACTAATAGCTGCCCCTTTGGAACACAAACCATGAGCTATCAAACTGATGGCATGCACACATTGTTCTGAAACTCAAACAGAATCTCACCCCAAAGATCCAGGAACTTTTTAGAACACCCAGAAAGGAACATGATTCTACCAAAAGACCCTCAAAACACACAGTGATTCATTTTAGGCTTCTTGATTTCTAAGATCATAAACTGCCAAGAAAAAATGTACAGTAAATAATATTGAATCAATGTTAAATTTCATAAGATAAAGCTACTGTGATTACATAGGACGATGTGCTTGTTCTTATGTGATACATGCTGAAAGTGAAGTGTCATGATGTTGGCAACTTTCAAATGATTTCAGGGGAAAAAAAGAATATATGTATGAATAGCAAGCAGAGGTTAAAAATATTAACAGTCACAAATGTAGTGAAGAATATATCAGTGCTCTTGTACTATTCTTTCAACTTTTCTATAGGTTTGACATTTTTCAAAATGAGAATTGGGAAAGAGATCTCATCATGAAAGAGATTGCTTTTGAGTGAATCTGGAAGAATGGGGGAAATTTAGGGAAAGGACATTGTAGGCACAAAGAACAGCAAGTGCAAGGCCATGGTAAAATACAGAAGCTGTATTTGCTGTACAAGGCCTTTTGCTTAAGCAAAAGTCACATGGGAATAAAGAAAAACTACTTTTGGCCAAAAACTGTGCTAGATCCTGGGCTCATAAAATATAATCCCTCCCTCAAGGAGCTCGCAGTTTAGGACGTAGTCAATTTTTATATAAGTTTGAAAATTTTTATTGTGCCCAGCTCCTAGAGGATCTTAAATGGTCATCTAATAAGCTTAGATTTGGCTGGATATGAAGTAGGGAACAATAACAGCAGATACAATAATACATACTGAAGGCTCACTGTCAATACCATTCCTGTATTATATCATTTACTGTTAATACCAATCCCACCAAATAGGTAATTTTATTACCCTCCTTGAAAAGATGAGCAATTCAGTCATAAAGAAATTATATACCTTGCCCAAGGTCATGCAGTTGGTAAGTGACAGCGCTTGGATGTGAGCTGTATGATCTGGGACCAAAGCCCATGCAGTTAACTCATCAACTGCCTCCTCATTGAGAGATTTGGAGAAAGAGAGATGTTCACGGTGACACATCAGGAAAATCCATCTGGTTTTAAGATAGACTGGAAGCTAATTTATTAAAAGTATCACAATTAAGGTGACAAATTCGACAGCAGAAAGCCTTGTGTCCTTCAAAAACACCCAGTTCCCAGTTAGTTAACACCTGGCCAGGTAACTATCAAAGATAATGCCCTAAGGCTTTGGCATGGGAATTTAGAGGGGAATAGGGTTAGAGGCATGAGGCAGGTGTGGTTGGCTGCCTTCCTGCAGGCATCTCATGCCCTTGATTGCTGGCAAAGCCCACCTCCACCAGAGGCTGTGGGTGTGAGATTCTCACTTCCCAGACATTCTTACAGCCAGAGCAAGGGCGTATGACCCAGTCCTGATGATGGAACTCGATGGGAAGTCTCCTGAGATCTTCTGCAAAATGCTTTCTCTCCAATAAAAAGAGTTGCAAAACAGAAATCCCTTCCCCTTTTGTGTTTTTTTGTTGTCTGGATGCAGTAATTTCTATATGAAACTGCTGTCCCCTCATAACTGTGAGGGAAAATGTGGCCAACACAGTGGGAACAAGACGGAAGACATCAGGATCCTGAATGACACTGGTCCACTTCACCAAAACTCTTGTATCCGATCTTTTGTTTTGTGATAGAATAAATAAATATGCCTAAGCCAAGTGCATGTGTTATTAATGTATTGCCTCTCTGCTTTGAATGCATCTTCTAGTATATGCTCTGTGATAAAGGAATCCATTTAAGCAGTTCTCCTTTCAACTAAATGACATTAAGCTTTCTGAGCAGAGGACACTGGAGGCAAACTGCAGAAGAGATTCTCCTGCTGTTCCCAGGACATCCATACCATGAGGTGCTGACCACCTGCTCCCCAACTTGCATACTAGTGCAGGCCAGCTCCAGCCTGGCCAGTCTGCTATCCAATAAATGGAAACAAACCTTTTCCCATGAAATCTGAATGCCTTCAGATCTGAAGGCTTGTCATTCCTTGAGTCCTCTCCGTCAGCCTGAGGGACTATGTAGAGTTTTCTTACATCTTACAGTTACTCCTTCATCATAGTTAGTAATTATTTATATTAAGACTCCCCTGTTTCTACCTCCTGATTGGCCCCAAAATGCCACACCATGATTAGCTAACTTTTGTATTTCTTGCAGCCAAAATCATACCAACTGACCCAATGCAGCACTTAGCAACCTGTTGGGTAGGACAGACAGGAAAGAAAGAGTCAATGATGATCAACGCTTGTAGACAGGTAGATTGGTTCCAGAGAACAGAGAAAACAGAAGAGAAATGAATCTGAGGAGCAAGACGCTAAGTATCTTTTTGTGCAATAGCAAGTCTAGGTATTCAGAGGTGACCACTAGACAACTGGTAATGCAACACTGAACACAGGCAGGAAGCCTGCATTGAATGTAATTATGGGGAGGCACTTGCAAAGATGGGAGAGTTGACTTGGGAGGAAGGTGATGAGAAGGATAACAAGACATTGGCATAGTGAAAGAAATTGCCAGGGAGAGAACAAAAGAGAAAATAGGCTCTTAGTATTAACTGTCTATCAGTGTGTAATAAATTACCCTCAAATCCAGTGGTGTAACACAACAACCATCATTTATTAATTCTCACTAGTGAGAATTAATGGGGTCAGGAATTTAGACAGGGTCCAGTCGGAATGGCTCATTTCTGTTTTAAGACTTCTGGGCCCTCAGCTTTAAGACTTGAAGGATGGAAACTGGTATCATCTGAAAGATTTTCACTTGCACATTTGATGGTTGGTGCTGGCTGTCAGCTGAGACCTTAGCTGGAATGCCTGCATATAGCCTCCACATGTGGCCGGAGTTTCTTCAGCTGTGGTAGCTGGGTTCCAAGTCAAGCAAAAGGAGAGAGAAGGAAGAGTAAGCGAGGTGGAAGCTACATCCTTCTTATGACTCATTCTTGGATCACAGGACACCAATTTTGCCATTGTGATCAGGACAGTCACCAAGCCCTACCCAGCTTCAAAAAGAGGAAACCTAGACTCTAGCTCTCAATGGGGGAGGGCTACTCACATCATAAGAAGAACATGTGAAACAGAATAAATATCCAGGTGTGGCTATCTTTGGAAAGCACAACTTGCCACACTTGAAGAGCACCACAGTTATGATTAAGAGAAAATTCTCTAGAAAAGGAGCAGAGACATAGAAAGAGAACCAAGGGGATTTACAGGAGCCAAGAGGAAAGAGAAAGTTTTGGTGAATTACCATTTGGAGACTGTGTGGAGCTCAGTTATGAGAAGCACATGTGGAAATGATGGTGGTGGCAGTGATGTGAACAATACCACCAAAAATATCACTTTTAGGTTGGTGTTTACAAGAAAAGTCCCCAGATTAATTACAGACATTCATTACTTAAGTTCTCCAGCTGGGGAGCCAAGACCGCCTCGTGTAAGTGAGAAGACAGGGAAATGTACGGTGTCCTTTTAAACAAACCATTATCTAACTCAAGTTGTGTGCCTCAGTTTCCTTATTTTTAAAGTTCCATACCAGCCGAGTCAAAGAGCTCAGAATAAATAAAACCCATTAGATCCGTATTTGAAAGATTTAGTTTAAGTTCTCTCACGAAACTACAAGAACAAGGTGGCTTATCGAACCACCACCTTTCTCTCTTCTACTTGCACTCTGCAAAAGGCACAGTTCAAAGAGAAGACAGTAAAGTGAGTTCAACAAACATATACTGAATACTTATTTTTAATTGATACATGCTATGTTCATATGTTAAGTTGCTAACATATGAACTCTCCCAAAGTTCATATGTTGGAAACTTAAACCACAATACGATAGTGTTGGGAGATGGGGCCTAATGAGAGGTGTTTAGGTCATGAGGCTGTCACCCTCATGAATGGAATAACACCAATTATAAAAGGGCTAGAGGCTGCAAGTTTGGCCTCTTAATCTTTTGCGCTCACTCTCTCTTGCTTTTCTGCCTTAAGCCGTGGGATGATGCAGTAAGAGGGCCCTCACCCGATGCTGGCACCATGCTCTTGGACTTCACGGCCTCCAGGACTGTAAGCTAATACATTTCTGTTCTTTATAAATGACCCAGTCTCGGGTATTCTGTTATAGCTCCACAAACAGACTAAGACAATAATATACTTGGCACTAGGGATGCAAAGACAAGAAGGCACAGGAATACAAAGACAAGGGATGCATAATCCCTCCCTGGAGGGACTGACAGTTTTAAAAAGAGAGACAAATAGATTATTTATAACTCAGCGTGATGAGTAGGTTGATAATTAAGGGAAACAGAGAACACCTCTAATTCTAACTCAGTCTGGAGGAATCTGAGAGGAATTCCCAAAGCAAATGATTTAAGCTGAGTCTTGTAAGGGGGAGTGTTTGGCAAAGGTCGGGGGCGGGGTAGGGAACTTAGTTTTAAAAAAAACAGCATGAAAATGAGAGGAAGCTTGCCTTGGAATGGGGCCTGTGACAGATTCTGGGAAATGTGTCTGGTTCTTTGTGGCTAAAATACAAGTAAAAGTGAAACAGTTAGGGAGATGGAGCTAGTGAGGGAAGCACAGGGCAGGTTTTAAGGAACTTTGTGCTTTGCTAAAGATAAATGAAACTTGAGAGGCTTTTTAGCTGAGTAATCACATGATCCAGTTTTCATTTTAGGCAGATCACACTGACCACCATGTGCCGGACAGATGTGGGGAGTAGTGAGGGGATTACTAGAGGTAGGGATTCAAGATATGTGGGCTGATAGACTGTGCCATAACCCAGGTGGTATGGGTTCAATTGTGACCACTCCCCCCAAGATGTTGAGGTCTTAATCTCTAGTAACCCAGAATGTGACCTTATTTGGAAATGGGGTTGTTACACATGTAATAGTTCAGATGAGGTGATTCTAGAGAGGGTCCTTAATCCCACATAACAGGTGTCCCTATAAAAAGAGCATCACGTAATGAGGCGGGCACGTGCACAGGGAGAGTGCCATGTGAAGACTGGAGTTGGGCTTGCACAAGCCAAGGAACTCCTGGGATCCAGGAGAGAGGCCTGGAGCAAATTCTTCCCCTTCAGAGGAAGCATGGCCCTACTCAGACCTTGATTTTGGACTTCCGCCTCTAGACCTGTGAGACAATAAATGTCAGTTGTTCAAAGCCACCCAGTTCGTGGCACATTGTTGCAGCAGCCGTGGGAAATGGGTGCAGCTGGGGAGAAATGATGAATGCCCAGTGAAGGAGAGGTAGCAGCAATGGGACAGAGAACAGCAAGAGGAACTTGCCAGGACCCCAGCATTGATGATGGTAGAGGTGGGGAGAAAGAGGAATTAGGATGACTCTCAGGTTTCTGGCACCATGACTATTTGGTGATGCCATCCTCTGAAAAAGAGGAAATGGCCCCAGAGTGCAAGCTCTATTACTGTGTTTTGCTCAATGCTGGATCCTAGTACCTAAAACAAATATTTATTGAATGAATGAAAAATGACTAAAAGAAGGAAAAGAGGAAGAATATCTTTTTCATATCCATAATACACACATAGATCTTTTCTTTCCCCTTTCCTTACCAAATTTTAAAGTTCCATGTAATTTTTTTCTGTATAGCCTTATTTGCAATGTTCTCTATTGTCCAGCTTTTATCCCTCATATTTATTACTTCCTCCCTCTAAGGTGCATATTTTTAGTAAAAAAATAGAACCCTTGATCCCTTAAAGAAAATGTGCTTATAGATACCACCACAGTGCCAAGCACCTAGTAAGTGCTCAATAAAAGCTACCTATTGTTACTGTTATCAGAAGAATTGAACATGTGCTATTCTGAAATATCTGGGACTCTTTTTTTTCCCCTTCTTTTCCCTTCATTTGACATCTTTTTAGCCTCCTTTTTTGTCCTTCATTTCATCCCTAACTTCCTTCTGACCTGCCTGCCTCTTTCTTCCACCATCACTTTTGACCAAAAATGAAAGAAAAAGAGTATCATGTGACGAGGCAAGCATGTCAGTATTAGTTACCTATGGCAGCATAACAAATTACCCCCAAAACATGACGACTAAAAATAACAATAAGCACTTATTATCTCTCACACCATCTTTGGTGAGCCAAGGTTGCCATCATCTGAAGGCTTGACTAGGGCTGAAGGGACTGCTTCCCATGAACTCAGTCACATGGCTGGCAAGTTACTGAATCTGCTGGTGGGGGGCCTTGGTGCCTCTCCAAGGGGGCTCTCCACAGGGCTGCCTGAGCACCCTCACAGCACGGCGACTGAATTTCCCCAGAGCAAGCAAGTCAGGAAACCAAGGTAGACTCTGTGATGCCTTTTAAGACATTGCACGCCATCATGCCAGCCATATTCTATTGGTCATAGACCAACTCTTAGATGATGTAGGAGGAAACTCTATGGGGGTATGAATTCTAGAAGGCTAGAGGGACTTGGGCCACCTTGGAGACAAACTACTGCAGAAAGATGAGGGGTAGGTGAGGGGCTGAAGAAGTACACTTGGGGAGCAGGGATTGACTGCATAATAAAGGAAAAACAGATATTACAGGTGTGTCCTTTTTTGTGAATACTATGTTCATTTCATGTTCTTCATTTTAAAAACTTTCTGTGAATTAAACTCATCAAAGTAAACATGAATCAACATTTCAATCTATGTGAAGTTATCTGTTGAAAATCTGTAATTTCAGCAGGGCATGGTGGCTTATGCCTATAATCCCAGCACTTTGGGAGGCCGAGGTGGGCAGATCACCTGAGGTCAGGAGTTCAAGACCAGCCTGGACAACATAGCGAAACCCCTACTAAAAAGACAAAAATTAGCCGGGCATGGTGGTGTGTGCCTGTAATCCCACCTACTGGGAGGCTGAGGCAGGAGAATCGCTTGAACCCGGGAGGCAGAGGTTGCATTGAGCCAAGATTGCACCACTGCACTCCAGCCTGGATGACAGAGTAAGACTCTGCCTCAAAAAAAAAAAAGAAAGAAAGAAAGAAAATGTGTAATTTCATGCCAGTGCTTATTAAAATTTTTAAATCTTATTCCAGTTGATGTTTGTGTGTCTTTTAAAAATGGAGCGTCCAGTGTTTTATGATAAATTATAAAATATCCTTTTCATTTTCTCATGCCCCTCCTTATCCCTCTATCCACATTAGCATGTAGAATTTCAGTTCCTAAGAACTAAATTCGTCACTATGGACATATTAATTTCAGCAGGCCTACGTCAGTGTTGCTCTGTGTAAAAGGCAGCATTGGCACACATCACAAAACATGCAAGCCTATCCCAAGAAATTCTCCCAGTGGAGCTGGTAGCAGAGAGAGCTTTGGGCCTCTGGCTTAGACTGTAGCCTCTGCCTACCAGCTCTTTGACGCTGGACAGGTTGTTTAACCTCAACTCCACTTTCTTCATCTCGAACAACGGTCAACAAACTTTCTGTAGAGGGACAGATAATACACATGTTAGGCTTTGTGAACCATATGGTCTCTGTCACAACCAGTCAATCTGTGATCCTAGCACAAAAACAGGTATAAACAATACATAATCATATGAATGTGGCTGTGTTCCAATAAAATTTTATTTACAAAACAGGCAGCTGGCCAGATTTGGTGCAAAGGCTACAACTTGCCAACCTCTGATCTAGAAAATGACATATGTAGAGGACATTGTAGCTGACTGCTCAATATCTATTTACCCCAACTAATGAGTCTAAGCCAATCAAGATGTCTATCCCCTGGGCCATATTAGTATAGAAACAGGCCTGCCTAAGCCATTCTGTGCCCATGAGACATGAGCAGAGGATTACTGGTGGCTTCTGGGAAATCAGCGTCCTGGCTCTTAAGAAAATGCTGCTTCACAAAGCTGGCCTCTCTCTAAGCTGGGCCTGGACAAGGAAGCAGATAGGCCCAGCTAGGACTAGCTCTATACTACCAGCCTTAGGACAAATCTGATGGCGAGAATGGCAGAGAGGAATCTTCCTCTGGAATTCTTATGTAAGCTAAAAAATTTTCCAGCTTCTCTTTATTAACTCTGAATTGGGTCATCTGTTATTTTGGCTAAAGGCATCCTAAGTGAAAACCTTATTCCAAGGGTAGTTATGAGATCTAAATGGAAAAATTTGTGTGATCATGGCATGCAAGTTATAAAACTCTACCAGTACAACTCAGTAATAGTGAAATAATCGCCAACTACCTCCCAAGTCGTCCCTGGGTCTCAGTCAAATTAACTGTATGTATGCACATGCCTTTGATACACATATTCCATTGAAAGTGAAAACGCTTCATCCTCCTTAATAATCAAAAAAGATCACAAACTATCACTTCTCTTAGCTAGAGTTTCCCAACCCACATAAGATAAAACTCAGGGGAAAGAAAACAACAGTAATTATTAACCTGTGAAAGTGATGAAGTAGCAGTATCCTAATGACCCCTGCAGGGGTAGGTGAAGGGCCATACAGGGCAGTTTCTCTTCCTTTCTTTCTTTCCTTCCTTCCTTCCCTCCATCCCTCCTTCCCTCCCTCCCTCACTCACTCCCTTCTTTCCTTCCTTCCTTCCTTCCCTCTTTCCTTCCTTCCCTTTTTCCTTCCTTCCTTCTCTCTTTTCTTCCTTCCCTTTTTCCTTCCTTCCTCCTCTCTTTTCTTCCTTCTTTCCTTCCTTCCTTCTTTCCTTCCTTTCTCCTTTTCTTCTCTTTATTTTCCATCCTTCTTTCCTTCCTTTCTCCCTTCCTAACTTTCTCCTTTTCTTTTCTTTCTCTTTCTTCCTTCCTTCCTTTTTTTCTTTTTTCCTCCCTTCCTTCCTCCTTTCTTCCTTGCTTCCATTCTCCCTTCCTTCCTACCTTTTTATGTTTCTTTTCTGGAAAATAGCAATTGGTAAAGTTCGGTTCGAGGAATGTGGGCCTGGAATCAAAAATAGGTCTTCTGTGACTTTCCAACTTCTGCTTCTGAGTAAATCATTGCATACTGGGTATTACTAGTCCTCATAAGTAATATTCCGCAGTATCAAGAAAGGTATAAATAAGGATTTGTGATTACTTATGAAAATCGAAAAGTGTCTAAAACCTTGTAAAGTTACAGCACTCATAGTCTTTTTCTCTTTCTCTTATTTTCTCTTCTTGGGGAGGTTTAGTAGGATCAGTAGTATTTGTTTTTCTATTTCTTTTTTATCTTTCCATGATGACCCAGTTCTGTGGTGATTTAAAATTTGAAACAAATAAATCAGTTAATCCAATATTATATTTCATAACTTGTGTTGCTTGCAACTATGTTGTATGTACAGCCTACCAGAGATGGATGATGAATTGCAGCTCTAACTTGAAAGTCCCCACTTTGGACTGTGTCTTGGATTGAGAGATTGACAATCAACTCTCCCCACAACGCTGTAAGGTATTATTCCCTTAATTTCACACATAAACAAATTGAGGTTCCAAGCAGCTAAGCAACTTGCCTAAGGTTATAGAACAAGGAAGTAGAGGGGCCTGGACTGAGATCCAGGTCCGCAAGACATCAAAGGCCTTTACAGAGAGGACCACTCAGTGTGGAAACAATGGGAAGTGTGTATCTGTCAGGAGTTTGTGCTTATCCAGTGCTAATGGCCGCGGCATTGAGTTCAAGGGTGGGACATGCCACTCTTGGGGAGGTATGCAGGGCCCTGGGGAGGTACACATTGGACCATGAGTGAGCAAAGAGACAGCAAGCCGTCTGCCAGGGAGAGGGGTGAACTCAAGCTAGGATCAGCAACCTGGAAATGTCACAGCTGCTTTTGCACCCGGGGAAGTCATAATGGGCTCCAGTTCACACGTTTGATTAATGACAGAACTGGGACCCAGGGGAATCCTAGTTTCTGATGCCAATTCCATTCTTTCCCATAAACCAACTATCTTTCCTTCAAGCCCAGCACAAAACTGTCCTTCTCCAAGACACCTGGCTTGCCCCACTTAGGCCCTAGGGACTGCTATTCCAAATGCCAGGGATACACCTTAGCTCTGACTCTCATTTGGCACTTACTGTATACCAGCTTGCATCACTAGGCAGTTTTCCATTTTTTGCATTTATTTCAGTGTGCTCAAAGGCAGGGGCTACATTTTATATTCTTTTTGGTCCCTACATCATATTATTTTGTGTGTCTTCCCCAGGACCTAGTACAAGGCCAAGCATGTAACAACATTCATGTGCTAGATGTTTGAGTTTTTAAAATATATTTTTAAAAGTTACTATTATTATTTTTTAGAGAGAGTCTCAGTCTGTCACCCAGGCTGGAAGGCTGTGGTGCAATCATAGCTCACTGCAGCCTCAAACTCCTTGGCTCAAGGTATCCTCTCACCTCAGCCTCCCAAGTAGCTGAAATTACAGTTGTGTGCCACCACGCCCAGCTAATTTTTTTTTTCTTTCAGAGATGGCATTTCACTATGTTGCCCAGCCTGGAGTGCTGGATGCTGACTGACATAGGAAAGTGTGCTCTGGGGACCCTCAGGGGCCATGGGACCCTTTCAAAGCATCTGTGAGGTCAAAGCTATTTTTATAATACTGCAAGACACCTTTCGCTTTCTTCACTGTCATTTGCACGTATGTGAGCAGTGTTGTTTCCCAGAGGCAATCTGATGTGTAATGATGTCACCTCTCCGCTAATGGCACACAGGCTTGAGTATTCCTGTGTGTTTATATTTTCTCCATTATAATCTTGACTATGGTAAATATCAACAGATACAACTCACATTTTAAAAAATCTCTTTGATTTTAAGAGTGCAAAGTGGTGCTGAAACCAAAAGGTTTGGGAACCTCGGACCTGGATGCTTCTGTGGCTACCTGCACTTAGCATCACTTGACATCATCTCACCATATCCATAAGTCACTCCACCACCCTCGTTATCTTTGTGAGAAAACCATTTGAGCAGCAAGAGGGTGCCCTTTGATTTTATGATACATTTTTCTGACAGGTCTGTTTAAGTCGGTCCTGCCAACTGTCCTAAAAAATAACTGTTGCCAAACAAGCAGGAACAACGTCTTCCCACCATGCCAGGCCTATAGACACTCTCATGGAAGTATCAATCTCATTAGGTTAAAAAAAAGTCTTTGGTTACAGGCTGCTACTCCAGAAAATGGTCCCTGAAAGGCAGCTGTTTCTAACTGCCCCTGGGCTCTGCGTTTGATTTTGCACCTTAAAAAAAAAAAAGCTGTGCTTTGCTGTTAAGCAATTCAGTTCTTGAGTTTGTGAAATAGCTCCAGTGTGATTACTGTGCAGCTCTTACAAGGATTTCCTGTTTCCCAAGAGTGTACTATAGGAATTGTGGTCACGGAAGTTGCAAAGGCTGGGGGCAGTGAAGGGGGACTCATTATATATGGATTATTGCTGTACATTTTCTGTCCCACAGACTCCATGCAGATGGTGTGATTGTTCACACGACGGGGGCAGATTTGCCATCAAAGGGACAGGAAATCTTGGCGGGAGGCACATGGCACCGGGAGTGTGTCCCCCCACTGACCTTGGCGTCCCTCCAGCAAATCTCGCCTTTTTGGTGAATGAGGAAGGCAGCTTGTGTGGCCTCTGCCATGGCGAATCAGGCTCAGGGGTTCCCATCACTGGAACTTGCCAGCTTTAGGCTAGGAGAGAAATCAGACCCATTTTACAAATGAATAGCAAATGCACACTCCCAGGTGTCATTAACTGTTTAATCATTTGTAAGTGGAACCCCTTCTGGGGGTCTCCCCGTGGGGATGACTGTTCAGGAGACAAGGTGGATCCTGGGTGTGTCGATAGAAGACAGCTGCTTTCTTTGCCTTGCTGTTGCCATTCATCAAGATTTCTGTGGCCTGGCTAGTCCTTGGCAGAACAAAAACAAAAGCCGATGACCCTGAAAGGTCGAAAAAGGTGTACAGACTGAAACAGGATTTATAAATCCCACAAATATGCAGAACTAGTCTCCGAGGTCCTTGAAATGATGAATAAGGTCCTTAACTTAGAGCACACACAGGACACCAGAGTCTCCGCATCCAAAACAATTCATTATAGTTCTGATCTTTCCAGACTCCAAAGCCGCCCCCAGGCCAGGTCCCCATCAGCTCCAGCCTCCTGATGACCTTCTGCCTTTCTCTATGCTGCACCTACACTGCAGCCTCCGGGCACATTTTATAGTGTTTGGATGCTTTAGAATCAGGTTTTCAAAGCTTTTGTCAGTGAATTTCCCCGCTCAGCTCTTCAATCCCACGCTGCCCCAAAGTCCTTCACTTGTAACCCGAGGGCCCCTGAGTGTTGGCAAATACTTGGTATTCGGCCCAGAAGCCACAAGCCTCAAGGCCAGGTAAGAAGATTCAGATGCAGATTCACAGAGCAGGTTTGCTGCTCCTAGCACTGGTACAGGAGGAGGATGGGAGGAAGAGGTCTGTTCTAGAGGAAAGCAAAAGATTGAGAGAGCGCAGAGCCAGGGTCAGGCAGCCCCGTGTTTGAAAGGAGTGAAGGAACCGGCTGGCAGAGACCCACTTCTAGCTGCTGTTGGGGAGGATGCCTGGCCTGTTGTCTGACAATCCACTGGTTTTAGTTGACTCAGCCTGTGCCTCAAGACTTTCCAATCCATCACCCGAGGGCCCCAAATGCTCCAAAATCCCCCTAGAACAGAAGATGAAGGTGCTTGTGGAAGTAAACTTCCTGGGGAAGAAGGTTGGGCAGGAGGAGGGGAAACGACAGAAGCAGTGTTTAACTCCCAGCAGGAAAGTGCAGAGAGTTACACATCCCCCTGGGGAATGGGGAAACTCCACCTTCAGAGTGGGAAATGTGTATAAAGATCAGAGCCATTTTCCACCCGAAAGGCAGCGTGCATCCTGTAAGTGTGATGAGGGATCCTGAGGGACATTCGGAGTGTGGATACAGGAAGGTCCCGGGGAAGGAGTCCAGCCCCTTACCTTCCAGGGCTGAGTGAGGAGCATAAACACCAGACAGAAACTTCAGGAAAACTCAAGAGCGCTTAGCCATTGAAGCTGCAAAACCGAAAGAGAATTCCCAGGCCCACAGGGCACCTGAGTGGTTGGGTAGCAGCAGTCCTGAGGTACATGCTCTGGTAGATGGGCTTGAGAGAAGCTTCGCAGGGTGCGGGGATCAGGGCGGCAAGGACATGGCTACAGTAGCTTGGGGGCCAGTGGTCCCGAAGGGGCTCTCCCGACTGGGATGAAGAGGACTAACAAAGTTGCCCCAATAATAATGTATGTCTTGCAGGGCAGTGCACGTCTTCAGAGGTATCAGCCTAAAATAATCAAAAAGGTCAGAATCTGGTTTTAAAAGTTTATTCAAGCACAATGGTTGAGAATGGACACCCAGGAGCATAGCTTCAAGTTGCCCTGAATACGAACACACAAAGGTGGTTCTCTCACAGTACAAAGTGATCCCTGGTACCCTAGAAGCCAAAGAGATCAGGTCATGCAATGCAAAAGAAAGCCGAGCTTTAGGCCTGAGAGGAAGCTACCTGTCCACGACTCCTCAGACTCCACGGGAAGACAGAAGATCCCAGAAAGGGGGTGGATGGCACTTTTTTCTGTGTTTTTTTAGGGGCCTGAGTCACTAGAATTCCTCTCTAGATTCCTTCATATGCTACTAAAGACAGCAAGAAGAAGCAGGGGCTTGAAAATCAGCTTTTAATTCAGCCAACTTTGACCGTGGAGTTTTTTGTTTGTTTTGTTTTGTTTGACAGGGTCTCACTCTGTCACCCAGGCTGGAGTGCAGTGACACAATCAGCTCACTGCAACTTCAATCTCCCAGTCTCAAGTGATCCTTCCCGCTCAGCCTCCTGAGTAGGTGGGACCACTAGCACGCACCACCACGCGAGGCTAATTTTTAAATTTTTTTTTGAGACAGATCTCACTGTGTTACCCAGGCTGGTCTCAAACTCCTGGGTTCAAGCAATCCTCTCACCTCAGCCTCCCAGAGTGCTGGGACAACAGGTGTAAGCCACTGCACCTGGCCACAGCTCCTTTTTAAAAACTCTTTTAAAAATCTCTTATTATCAGATTATTGCTGAGACAAACAGATGAGATTCCTGGCTTTTGAGCTTTTTTTTTTTTTTCACCCAAGTACCCTCCCAAGTGAATTACCAAAACCAATAAGCCTTAACCAAGGTTGTAATTTAATCAAGAACTCATGAGGTGTCTCCGAAGAGGGGCAAAGCAGTCCTCACAAGATTCAGAACCACCCCAAAGACAGCTCAATGAAAGGATAGTTTCACTAACCACAAATGGCGTACAACTCACATTCTGTCCGGCTTTGTGGGCAGCTGAGCACCTACACATGAAGGCCTGAAGGCCCGAAGGCCCCCTGTGTCTCACCAATGGAAAGACGAGAAACTAAAAGCTGTCCATGAAAGGGAACAGGGTCAATAACAAACAGGTATCCCCAAAGCCAAAAGTCACCAAAATACCAAACCAAAGGGATGGTTCTCTGACTAAGGCCATGGCAGTGAAGGTACAGGATTTCACCTTCCAGAATTCCAGGTGGAGCAGCTTTCACTGTGAATCCCACAGGGCATCTGAAGCAGGCACCTTGAGCTTACAAAGGATTTTAACTTTGTTTTTGGTCAAATTTTTGCTCTTTACTTTTGTGAAGAGAATTTCTAAAGCTGGCCATGATACCATTATGTGTCTTTTAGAAAATCTGATCTCGGCTGGGCACATTGGCTCACGCCTGTAATCCCAACACTTTGGGAGGCCAAGGCAGGTGGATCACCTGAGGTCAGGAGTTTGAGACCAGCCTGGCCAACATGGTGAAACCCCGTCTCTGCTAAAAATACAAAAATTAGCCAGGCATGGTGGCAGGTGGCTGTAATCCCAGCTACCTGGGGGGTTGAGGCAGGAGGATCGCTTGAACCTGGGAGGCGGGGGTTGCAGTGAGCCGAGATCATGCCATTGCAGTCCAGCAGCCTGGTGGCAGAGCAAGATTCAGTCTCAAAAGAAAAAAAAAATCTGATCTTCCCATAAGTACAAATAGGCAATTTGTTTAGAATGAGAGATCATATATACATATATATATATATATATATATATGTTATTATAATTCAAAGGATCCATCTCGTGACCACTGATGATTAGAATTTTTAATGATGTACTTATTCTAAGAGCAACTCGATCCCATATGTGTACCAAGAAGTACACCAAGATTGCTATACCCAAGACTAGTCATACAAATCCTTTCCTCTCATTAGCCAACATTTTGCAGAGGAAAAAGAGACAAACATGGTTTTACTGTCCGCTCAACCAGATTCCACAAAATGAAAGACAGGGAGGCTGGCTGGTAAGACGTTCTTACCCTTCTGCTGGCCTGTCAGGTCCTGGGTTCCCTTCACTGTGGCTTAGAGCAGAGCAGGTTAGGTACTCTGCTCATAGCGCTAAAGCTGCAGGGGCCATGGGAAAACTTTCCCCTCACCCTCTGAATGTTCGCTGAAAAAAATCAACTCACAAAAACAGATTAATGGGGGAAATGGCATGCAATTTATTAACAACCACACGGGATAACTGTCCCCCTTTGGGGAGAAAGAGATAGGTGTGTTGTATAATTTCTAAAAGTCTCTGCCTGTCAGGTGGATGGGAGCTGAGGGAACCAAAAGGAAAACATGTTCCCTAAAGAGAACCTAACTGAAAATCAATTTTGGCAGTCTTTTTTCAATTCAGAAATTGTTGTAGACAAATGTTTTCCTCTTGCAAATAAAAGACTTTATTAGAAGCTTTGTAAAATAGAGATGGAGTCTCACTATGTTGCCCAGGCTGGTCTTGAACTCCTGGGCTTAAGTGATCCTTCCACCTCAGCCTCCCAAAATCCTGGGATTACAGGTGTGAGCTATCACACCTGGCCTAGAAGCTTCTAAGTACATTGAAGATAGCTCTATACGTTATTTTGTTTTATTTCAAACAGCATTTTCTGATTGAGTGCACAGATAAACTACTTTAGGTATTTTAAAGATACCCCATTTTGGCCATTGTAACTTGGGGTCTTCATAAGTTATGTGAGACCATTTTTGTGACTATATGAATGAAGAGGTATTATTAGTATTGCACATGCATCCAGGCAGTATTTCTAAAGGCACATCTCTCCTTTAGTAGTATAATTGTCCATAATTTAGATTTTCCTTTGAAAGACCAAAAAGACCTAGTGGGAGGAATTTCAGTCACTCAAGAAGAAATTTTAGATCTGTCAATTGCACTAAGTCGCAGAATCCCACCAGTTTTACAGATTACAAATTTTTCACTTAAGCCACAAGGATATCACTTTCTCTTTTCAGAGAAAACTGTTTTCTCTTTGACCAAGAGAAAAGGTTGTAAACTTTAATGAGTAAGACACACAATACCTGAACCTCAGAGAAAAGTGAAAATCACAAACCCGCAGTCAGCAGAATTTCTAGAGATTAACAAGCGAAGCTCCCACCTTAAAGCTTTAAAACAGAACTTCAGTTCCAGCCCTGTCAGGTGTGAAGTCAGGTCAGTTGAGTAAAGTTTGAATCTCAAACCAAAAATCAGGGAGATTCAAAATCTGAAAGGAGACTCCACAGAGATTCCCGCTCACCTGGCGAGGCTGAGTGAGCATAGGCATGTTTGTGTTGGCACCAAGGCCCTAATTGTTGGCAAAAGAGGGGTATCTCTGGAGGCTTATTTCAGGTCCCTTTGTAGTCATCTCACCTGAACCCAGGCACCACCTGGGATGAAAGGAAGAAGGGGAGAGGCTGGAAAGAATCTTGGGTTAGCTGAGTGGTTTCTCAAAAGAAACTCTAGTAAACTGGAGACAATTGAAGCATGGCAAGACATAGATCTCCTCCATCAGAAGAAAAAAAAGTTGTTGGCTAAGTTGAATTCAGTTTTAGAGAAGTCACATTTCTGCACACCTGAGTTTGTGGATGGGGGAATTTATGGCTTTTGTGGGTTACTGTCGATCTCCTGCTAAAATTATTGTAATTGTTTCCTTTGCATTTGTAAATTAATCCAAACTCTGGCCTCAGGCCTTTAAGACTCTGGTTCCACCTCTCCATCTCTAACCAAGCTTTTGTCCTACTGGGTCTCCTTTTTGACAGGCACACTTGCCAAGCTCTTTCCTACCTTGGGGTTTATGTGTGTACAGTTTCTTCTAGAAAAAATGGTATTTCCCATACCAGCTCCTTCTCAGATTTGGTGAGGTCAGTTGCAATTGGGTTAAATAGTTATTCTGGGCACATCTCATTCTTTATCTCAACATTCTTTTTTTTTTTCTTAAGTTTATAGCATTTCACACTTTATAGTTACTTGTTTATTTATATGTTTGATTCACGAGATTATATGCAAATGCCTAGCGTAATACATGTATGAGGAATTCATTGAAATAGTTAATAAATCAATGAATGAGAAGATAATTTCCAATGAGTGATTATTTTCCACTTTTCCTAAGCACAGAGAGAGAAATGAGAGATAAATGCCAGGAGGAAATTTTTAGATTAGACATTTGTTACATGGCCTAACATCAAGATTGGGTCATACTGTAGGATAATCTATCGTGGCCTATTCATCACAGAGCTGAAAATCAAGTTCATATAGGAAGTTCTCTGTGACCTTTTCTCAGGTAAGAATCAAGTGATTCCATTCATCATTTGTTATTCGCCAGCCCCTTACCATTCCTTAGTTGTGGTAAACACCATGGAAAGTCAGGAGAAGCATTAAAGAATCAACAATTCAGCCACAGAGTTAAAAATAGCACCCCCTGGGAAATTGCAATTAGGGACTACAAAGCAGTGTGTTATCATTCCCAGTATTTTGGGAATGATGGCATCTTTCTCTGGTTTGTGCAGATAATTTTCCTCTTTCCTCTCTAATCTTCTCCATCCTTAATAGCTGTGTGGTGTGGCATTTTAAATGAATTAAAATTAATTTCATTTTGGGAATTTTTATACCTCTGAGATAGTGCACCTGGAATTATCCGAAAACCAGGACTGGAAGATCTAAAACAGTGTTGGGGAGTATGATGAATGGGAAAGGCTTATAACAAAAATTCCATATTATCCATGGCATAGCTTACTTAAGAGAATATGCTTTACTTACTAATGGAAAAGAAAACATTATACCTAGGCAGGATTTAAAAAAAAAATACTGTCCCTAATGTTTACATGCAGTGATGTTAATTCTAGAGGGGGCCCAGTGACTCCCGACCAGGCCCTGCTGAGACAGAAGAAATCACATTTTTCAGGCTTCTCTTCTCTTAGTCTTCTTAGTTAGTGAGAGAAGAGAATCTCCACTCACCACAGGCAACACTTTGGGGCATATTTCAATGGGTTCTGTTCTGAGTCCAATGGTTCCTAATGGTTCACCTCCCGCCAAACAGAACCCAGGCTCATTTTCTCGTAGCCTGAAGAGCACTGTGCATGGAACACACTTCCTAAAGTTTGGATGAATGAACTCCAGGAGGATTCTGTATTTGTGGGGTGAGAGGCCCTGGCTCCCAGAAAAGGAACGCTTTCACTGGGGCCACAGCTGCCATCATGTCTCTTGGTGCCAAGAGAGCAGCTGCAAAGGAAAGGATTCATCAGACCAGCAGCAGGGTCTGCCCTCACACGTCGGGGTCGTGGAAGAACATATTTGTACACTGGCAGTTCATGAGGGTGTCTCTTGGTATTTCTTTGCCCAATTCTAATAGCGATTAGACATGATGCAGCAGCCACAGCCTGAGAAGGGCATGATTACCAAGATTTCCAACCCCTAGAGATGAGGGTTTAGATCACCCTACCAGGGTCATGTAAGGTTACCAGACCAGCACAGGTGCTGGCTGAGTGGGAGGGAGATCTAGAATAGCTACTAAAGGAGAGAGATGATGAATAGT
The DNA here is from genome assembly GCF_000001405.40 of Homo sapiens. Taxonomy (NCBI): domain Eukaryota; kingdom Metazoa; phylum Chordata; class Mammalia; order Primates; family Hominidae; genus Homo; species Homo sapiens. Next base: position 159,945,922 of record NC_000006.12, on the reverse strand, counting down.
GATTGTGGCCTCACCTGCAGCAAAGGAGACTAATGTCTTGGACTGTTTTATGCTGCTATAACAGAATACCACAGACTGGGTAATTTATAAAGAAAAGAAATTCATTTCTTACAGTTCTCGAGGCTGGGAATGCTACATTAGGGCAATCCCAAATCAAGGTGTCAGCATCTGGTGAAGGCCTTCTTGCTGTATCACCTAATAGCAGAAGATGAAAGGGTGAATGAGCATGCAAGACAGAGAGCACACTGGGTGAGAGATTGAGCCCCTAAGGCCTCAGGCAGCCTCACCCACATGGCTTTGCTGGGCTCAGTCTACACTTCGGCTCTCTCAGGTTGGAGTCTCATGACTGCAGCTCTCCCAGGCTGGTGTCGCACACTGGTAGCTACAGTTCTGGAGTCTCAATGGTGATGCCATTCCCATCAGGCATTACCCTTGTGAGGACTCTCAGGGCTGGCCTTGTTCCAATGGCTTCACTAGGCATTGCCTTAGTAGGAAATCTCTGTGGTAGCTCTACCCCTGAAACAAGTTTCTGCCTGGGCCCCCATGTTGTCTGAACATTCTTTGAAACCTAAGTGAAGGTTGCTATGTTCCCATATCTCTTTCTTCTGTAAGCCTGCAGACTTAACACCATGTGAATGCCACCAAGGTTTACTGCTTGCACCTTGTGGAGTCCAAGCTGCACCTGAGCCTGCTTGAGCCACAGCTGGGACAGATGAGGGGTATTATATTGGAATGCAGAGAGCAGAGTCCTGAAGTGGCCCTGGCCAGTGAACCCATGGACAGTGCCCTGGCCTGTCCTCTGAAACCATTCTGCCCTCCTAGATGCCCTAGGCCTGTGATGGGAGGGACAACCTCAAAGATCTTTGAAATGCCTTTGAGGTATTTCTCCCATTGTATTGATGAATAGCACCTGGCTTCCTTCCTGTTCATACTAATCTCTTAAGCAAACAATTGCTTGACCATACCCTTGATTTGCTCTCCCAAACACACCTTTCTACTCTTCACATAGCCAGGCTGCAAATTTCTGAAATCTTTCCATTCTTCTTTTCTTTTCATTACAAAAGTCTGTCTTTAAGTCATTTCTGGCCTCTCACATCTCACTGGATGTGTTTAAAAGTAGCTACACAGCAGCCTGATTCTCTGTTGCTTAGAAGTTTCTTCTACCAAATATCTTAGCTCATTACTCTTACATTCTGTATTCCATAAAGTCCTAGGACAAGAACATAATCCTGCAAAGTTCTTTGCAACCATATAACAGGGATGGCCTTTACTCCAGTTCCCAATACCATCTGAGATATCAGAATGGCCTTTACTATCCTTGTTTATACCAACATTCTGATCACAATCACTTAAGTAATCTCTAAGATTTAGGCTGTCTGTAGTTCTGGGGTCTTCTTCTGCGCCCTCACCAGATTTGCCATTAATGGCATTGTAGGCTTTTTCTAGCCTTCTCCTCCCAATTCTTCCAGCCTCTACCCATTATCCAGTTCCAAAGCCACTTCCACTTTTCAGATATTTGTTACAGCAACAACCCCACTCCTGGTACCAATTTTCTTTTTGTTTTGTTTTCTGCTGGTATAATGGAATACCACAGACTAGGTAATTTATAAGGAGCAGAGATTTATTTCTCACAGTTCTGGAAGCTGGGAAGTCCAAGGTCAAGTGGCCCACATTTGGTGAGGGCCTTCTGTGTCACCCCATGGCAGAAAGTGGGAGGGTGAGTGAGTGTAAAGAAAAAGAGGAAGAGGGCTGAATGCCTGCAATAGCAAAACCACTTCTGCAATAACAGCATTGATCCATTTATGAGGGCAGAGCCCTCATGACCTAATAGCTCCTTAAAGGTCCCACCTCTTAATACTGTCATAACGGCAATTAAATTTTAACATGAGTTTGGAGAAGGACATTCAAACCATAGCAACCAATATTACTGTCATAAATTTACCCAGGAAAAGAGAGTAACTAAGATCCTGAAGTAGCTGTTTCTAGATGAGATTAAATCACTATATGAAGCAGTTGGGCAAAAGGTAGGCTGTAGTGGATGCTGTGGTATGTTGTTCATATTCACCCTTCACATTCAAAGACACTAATTTCTCCAGATTTAGGAAATGTTTTATGCTTCACAGCTATGTTCTTCTCTAGGTACAGTCCTCAGCTGAAAGCGGCTACCCCATCCAAAGTAACATCTTCTCCTCAGGGGCAGCCTGCATCCAATGATCAGTTTATGAAAAGATGCAGAGACTTAGTTCCCCTCTTCATTAGGGACATAAATGTGTATACTGGTACATATTTAACAAGTTGTTCCTGGTGGATGGGGGAAGCCCTGGTTTGTAATATTGGGCAATTTTCATGGTGTAAATATTCCCACTGTGCCAATGTCAAGATCAACCTGACATCACTGAATGAGGAGTTGGGAGGAGATCCACACAGCTGACTCAGGAATCCAGCTGGTGGGAACCAGGGGACCCAGTTCAGCGCACCACAGCCATCCCTCGAAGGGCCCTCCTCATTTCAGAGCTCCTCACGAGATCAGCTGAGGCCTCTGTTGAAACCACATCAGACTTCCACTTCTTTCTCCACCCAATCCAGCAATCCTCCCTCCTTACGGTTGTTGATTCTGGAACACTCCCCAATACACTTCCTGCTCATAAGTTTCTATCTCATAGTCTACTTCTCAAGGAACCCTGAGCTACAACACGCTTAGATGCCAGTGTCCTTGTGGGTTCGTCCTTGGCTCTGTTTTCTTCTCACTCTGTACTCTTGCCCTGGGTGTCCTCACACATTCCTGAAGTTTGACATCACATCTGAATCAGATGACACTGCTCCATTCGGGACTCCTTTTCTGAGTCCAGTCCTAAATCTCCAGATTTCTGGGGACAGACAAACAGATTTCACTGGTGCAAAAACCTCACCTTATACAAAACAAACTCACCATCTTCTTCACAAACCTGCCTTTTACCCCTGTACTCTCTCTAAAATGAATCCTCATCTTTCCAATAGCGTAAGACTTTAAAACAAAACAAAACCTCAAACCCAGAATGACCTTGAACAGTTCCCTCTCCCTAAGCTCCTGGCAATTCTCTACTTCTGTCTCTGAGTGTCTGTCCATTACCTTACATTGCCTGCATCTCCACCTTACCTGGGTCCAGGTGATCTCTCGTCTGCGCTATCACTATCATCATGGCCTGCGAGGGTCTTTCTGATTCTCTTTTCCCTATTTTCCTGCCCAAACTGGTCTACAACAGCAATCTTCAAAGTCAGGGGACCCGGACATCCAATAGGATGCAAGAAGAAAATACTTGGGCTACTATTTTTTTAAATCACTTTAATCTCTTTATTTTAATATACATCTTAATTTGTACATGCTAGATCCATAAATGTTTATATTCTTAAGTAAAATGCTTTGGTTTGGTTGCATGCTCACTTAGTTGGTTTGGTTGGTTGGTTTGTTAGAGGTGCTTGATCAAAAAGTTTGCGGATCACTGCTCTAGTAGCTAGTAGCCCAGTGACCTTCCTGCCACACAGATTTTCTTATGTCCCTCCTTTACTCAAAGATATTCAGTGACTCCCTGGACTCAAACACCACTTTCTTCATCACCCTTCCCAGTGTCCAGTGCTGTTAACTTCTTTCCATTTATCCAGAGCTCCTCATATAACACACATTTATTTCTTTTTGCCTTGTATTACAGGTATGTGTGAAAACTGTCCTTATTCTCTAGCTCATTGAAGCTCATTGAAGACGGAGACTATAATTACACATTTTTCACCAGAGCCTAGGATTGCTCCATGCATATAGGAAGATAAATATTTGCTAAATGAATATTTGAAGTTTCATACACCTCAAAGATTCATCTTAATGATAGATTTCCTATTTAAATAATCCATTCTTCATAGAAAGCCTAATGGTAGTTAGTAAGACATCATGCAGGGCTAAGCACTTGTCCTCATCAGGGTAAGTCCACATCTCTAACAGCCACAGACCACAATCACCACAGAATCCAGAGAATGATACTGCCACAAGATGGCAGAATGACATCGTGCTTCAATATAACGTTTTCAGTTTGAATTATCTTCCAAAACATTGGTAGCCTACCCACTAGGCTGCCCTTAGAGCACATTGCACGTCCCCAGGAGAAAATGGAATAGAAGTTGACTTGACTTTCAGGCCATCCTCACCATGTCTCCCGGTCTTTGCAAAGGGTGTTACACGACAGGTGATGCCCATCTCCCGAGCACCTGCCACCAGAGACTCTAACACAGTAGGTCCTGTCTCCTGCAGGAGGAGTGGACTGCGGCCATCCGAGTGTCAGGACTTGTGGGTGGTCAGGCTGCCAGGGCATCTTCTGCTGGCAGCTTCTTAGCACTAGGTGCCTCCTCTTAGCCCACAGAGAACCAGATGGAAGTTAACATTTGGACCTGTTAGTCAGGGCTTCCCCCTCCATTTCCCTGTGTCCTTGAGCCACCCACATGCAGTCACCCAGGGCACCCCCACCTGTGGCTCATTCAAAGGATGGTAGAACGCAGACAGAAAAGGGGTAGTAATTGGCCTTGCATTTTGAAAGACTGGTGGAGATATTTTTGAATGTATTTTTTTCGGAGAATGCACGACAAGGAGTAGCAAGGCTTTCTTCTCTTGCACTTTCTCCCCAAGTCTGGATGAAGATTTCTGGAGCTAGACCTCTCTAAAGATGGAAGCCCTGCCCTCTCCATCCCTAGAATCCCCGGATCATTTTGAAGAGAAAAGATCAGAAGCCCAAGAGCCACCTTTCCTGGGTAGAGCCTGAAGGAACCAGGAGCCCAGGAAGAAGGGCAGACAAGCTCCCCTGACTCCAGTGTGACAAAATAAACGTCATTTACAGAAGACTCACAGTATTCCAGGCATTGCTCTAAGTACTGACTGCTTTAATTTTCACAACAACCCTATGAGACAAACTATTTTTATTTTTATTTATTTATTTATTTATTTTTTGAGACTGAGTCTTGCTCTGTCGCCCAGGCTGGTGTACAGTGGCACGATCTTGGCTCACTGCAATCTCCACCTCCCGGGTTCAAGTGATTCTCCTGCCTCAGCCTCCTGAGGAGCTGGGATTACAGGCGCATACCACCAAACCCAGCTAATTTTTGTATTTTTAGTAGAGATGGGTTTTCGCCATGTTGGCCAAGCTGGTCTTGAACTCCTGACCTCAGATAATCCTCCCACCTCAGCCTCCCGAAGTGCTGGGATTACAGGTGTGAGCCACCATGCCCGATCTGAGTCAAACTATTTTTAATTAATGCCCACTGTTGTTTTCAGATGCAAAAACAAAGTTCCTGCCTTTGCTGGGAAATGTGGGACCTTCCTCCCATCCAAACAGTCTCTGAAGCCCATGCCTTTAACTTCTTATTTTTATTTTTTGTAGAGATGGGGTCTCCCTGTATTTCCTAGGCTGGTCTCAAACTCCTGGCCCTAAGCAACCCACCCGCCTCAGTCTCCCAGAGTGCTGGGATTACAGGCATGAGCCACTGTGTCACATGCCTCAGACTTCTGAGCGTGGAAGACACCAAGGAGAGCTGAACCTGAAGAGGCTTTAGGCTGCACTGGGAAGATCGAATCATGAGCCGTGGGTGCTCAGCTAGAGGAAGGTGGAGGGCACCGACTGCTGAGTAGCCCCTGATGAGGACAAGACCCCAGCAAGCGTCATGCCCAGAGGCCTCCACATAAACTTTCCTCAACTTAGAACTTACTCTTAGGAAGGGCACCAACCAAATTAATTGATTTCTACTCAACAGTGGGTCGATGGCTCAAAGTAGAAATTAAATTCAGTACCAGAAAAGTAAAGAAAAAATCAATTTCTGGCATGTCTGACTTGGACTGAACTTCATTCCCACTAGAATAAGGAAAAGGAAGAAAACAAGCCAGGCACTCTTTGACACCACTCCATGAATCCTCCCCACAGGCGCAAGGGGCTAATGTTGACCCTGAGGACACACATGCCAAGGAGTTGAGGGCCGCAAAGGCCAGCACTAGTGCCGGTGCCTGGTGGAGAACGAAACCCAACCCAGACCAATAGAAAATGCTCAGTGTTTCCACTGCCATGAAGTCTTGGGTATTAAAGGTCATCTTATCCAAGGCTGCCATCTTAGCGATGAGAACACTCAACTTGAAGATGGAGTGAAGCCTCTTGGACTTGCTGACCTGCCAGCCCTGCTGTTCACCCTGGCCCAGTCCCACTGACTGAATCCCTCTGGAGAAAACTCATGTGACTGGAAAACTTCCTCTTATTCAGTACAAATGACTCCATTTTATTTGCAGTTTTGGCACCGCCTTATCTCTGATTTTGATAAAGGGAGCTTTGCTGAAAAGCTCTTGGCAGTGGTTCAGTAAGGGATTTTTTTTTTTAATTTAAAAAGCTTTATTGGGGTATCATTAACATGCAATGACTTGCTTATTGATATACAATAAATTGTCCATTTAAACTGAACAGCTTGGTAAGTTTTGACATATGCATACACCCGTAAAACCATCAGCACCATCAAGATAGTGAACGCATCCATCCCCCACAAAACTGTCCTTTGTCCCTCCTTTGTATACCTTTCTGCCCCCCGAAAGCAACCACTGATCTGTCTTCTGTCTCCATAGATTAGAGGGAATTTTCTAATTTAATATAAATGGAACCATATAGTATGTACTCCTTTTTATGTGGATTCTTTTGCTCAGCATAATTTTGACATTTGTCTCCTGTGTATCAATAGTTCACTCAGTTTTATTGCTGAATAATATCCCACTGTATGGGTATACCAGTGTATCCATTCACCTATCGTTGGACATTTATCAGTTTTTGGGGGGTAAGTATCTAGGAGTGGAATGGATGGAATGCATGGAATACATGGTGGGTCTACTACTTGCAAAGATGGTTGTACCATTTTATATTCCCATCAGTAGTGTCTGAGACTTCCAGTTTTTCTACATCTTTGCCAACACTTGGTATCATCAGACTTTTAAATTTCAGCCATCTTAATGGGTATGTAGTGGTATCTCACTGTGGTTTTACTGATAATGTCTAATGATGTAGAACAGCTTTTCATGTGCTTATTTGCCACCCATATATCTTCTTTGTGAAGCGTCTGTTCAAAGTTTTTACCCATTTTTAAATGGGCTTGTTTGTTTCTTCATTGTTGAGTTCTGAGAGTTCTTTATATATTTTAGATAAAGTCCTTTTCACATACATGCTTGGCGAATATTTTCTGCCCATTTATTGCTTATCTTTTCGTTGTCTTAACAGAGCCTTTTCAATGGCCAAGTTTTTAATTTTCATAAAGTACAGTTCATCACTTTGTTACTTTACGGATGGTGCTTTTGACACCGTATGTAAGAAATCTTTCTTTGCCTAACCCAAGGTAACAAAGGTTTTCTCCTATAATTTGTAGAAATGCTATAGTTTTGGATTTTACATTTAAGTCTATAATCTCATTTGTTAGCTTTTGGTTTTTGTTTTTTTAGGGTCTCACTCCCATTGCTCAGGCTGGAGTGCAGTGACATGATCTCAGCTCACTGCAGCCTCAACTTCCTGAGCTCAGGTGATTCTCTCACCTCAGCCTCTCGAGTAGCTGGGACTACAGGTGCACGTCACCCCACCTGGCTAATTTTGTGTATTTCTTTTAGTAGAGATGGGGTCTCCCCTTATTGCCTAGGCTGGTCTCAAACTCCTGGGCCCAAGTGATCCACCTGCTTCGACCTCTCAAAGTGCTGGGATTATAGGTATGAACCACCGCACCCAACATTTGTTAGTTTTTGAACACACTTTAAATTATGGATTCAAGGAGCTAAGTTTCTTCTTCTTCTCCTTTTTTTTTTTTTTTTTTTGCACCTGTTCCAGCATCTTTTGTCAAAAATCAGTTGTCCATATATGTGTGAGTATATTTCTGGACTCTCTACTCTGTTCCATTAATCTATTTGTCTATCTTTATGCCAATGGCATGCTGTTTTGACTGCAGTAGAGGAATTTGAGCATGAGAAGTTTAAAAATGGCTCTGAGGTCCATCTTATCCTGGAGATTTGGAATTCCTTTTTCCTTCCAAGTCAAGGGGGAAAGCCTACAACCTCTTCTTAAAGGTGAGCATGACCTGTCTTTTGCTCAAAGGGTCTTAGCACTGCTGCCAACAAGTTGCAACAGAGAATTTTCTGGGCCTTTGTGGATGATGGGAAGCTCTGCAGAAAATTCATCCATCATTGGCTCCCCAAACCAGCCTCAGAGCCAAGCTGACAGCAAACCAAAGGCCTCATGTAGCCACTCCCACTGGCAAGGAGGAGTGCCCTCTCCTGTAGGAACAAGGACTACGGGGTGTCCCTCGTTCTGGACACTTGCTAGCAGTTTCTGTAAAGATTTCCAGACACGGGGGCTGAAATTAGACATTAAAATCACATTTGGGAATATTAAAGAATTTATTGTACCTCCTTCCCGTCCCTCATTTCCCTCTTCCAACATCACTCTCGATCTTCAGAAATTGTGAGACAGTTACATGCTAAGAAGGAAGTAGGAAAAGAGGCTGTCTCTAGCTCTGTCTCCCTAGGAGCATGGTATTGATGACCTGCATGAGCCTGGCACTGGGCAATGGGCAGGGCTGGACAGAAAGTTAGGGGAGCAGGGAACGTGGAACCTTCTGTATGATCTGTGTGATTTGCCTGTAAATCTAAAACTATTCTAAAATAAAAAGTTGTTTTTTGTTAAAGGTCCAAGTAACTGTTTAGAAGAAAAGTTAGGGAAAGGAAAGGTTTATTAAAACTAATGAAAAACAGCCTAGCCATTATAAAAAGTAACGGCTCTCTTTTTTTATTATCTTCCCAACTGAAAAATGACCATAAATCTTCAGTCTTCCACAGACTCCTATTTGTTGGGTGTGCATTTCTTCAAGCTGTGAAACAGCCATAGATGGCTCCATGCAGCAGGAGCAAACGTGTTTTTGTTTCTCCCCCAACCCTTCCTGGTTCAAACACCCTTCCCTTTGTTCCTCCTTCTCCTCAACCCTGGTCAAGTCATTTTCTTTCTGGTTTAATCAGAGATAAGAAAAGCAGATCTTGAAAGTCTTTTCACAGGAGAATCTAAAAATCTCAGTGCTGATGGAAGGTATGGAAGCATGGGAAGTTAAAGAAGAGGACTTCCGGCTCTCATCATCTATCACCGCTGCTCTGGCATAACACAAATGGAGGATATGAAAACATCCATTCTGTGACCTGGGGATCAGCCCCCTGCTGAGAAAGGTCTTCTACTGAGGAGTGTCCCACTAATGGGATAATCTCACAGACGGGTAAACACAAAGACACAGGGCTCTGTCACACACTAGCACCAACCAGGTTGCTGTGTTTCCTGGGTCACAGATTTGCCCAGGAGAAACTCCATCCACTAAACCCAAGTGTTAAAATGAAAGCAAATACATTGGCGCCTGAACACAACAATGCATGCTACAGAGTGGAATTCCATAAATGGCCTTTTACTACAATAAAATCACAAGGAACTCAAGATAAAACCATTGAACAGTATGTACAATAAGGGCAGTGTCAGTCCAAGACTTGGAGACACTTACCAAATGGAATGGAGAAGGCATTAAATATTCATTGACATGTCAAGTCAGTCTTTCCACATAGAAGGTTCAATGGAGAATGTAGTGGAAAGACCCAAAGTGACCCCCAAAGACACCCACCTTCTGGGATCATGCCTCTGGGTACTCTCCTCCCCTTGAGTGTGGGCAGGACCTGGGACTTACTTGTAACTAACAGGATATGGCAGAGATAATGGGATGTCCCTTTATGATTAAGTTACCATATATATAAGTCTCCCTCTTAGGAGCAGACATACTGTACTCTCCCTTACTGGCCTTGAAAAATCTGACATGAAGTAAGTGGCCATGGTGAAGAAGCCCATATGGCAAGGAACTGCAGGCAAACTGCCATTGCTGAGAGCAGCTTCAGCAAGAATGCAAAGCCTCAACCCTGCAAGAAGAAGGAAATGAATTCTGCCAACAAGCTGAGGGAGCTTGGGAGTGGATCCTTCCCTGGTTGAGTCTCTGATGACACTGCAGCTGAGTCAACACATTGACTTCAGCCTAGTGAGATGCTGAAGCTCAGAACCCAGATGAGCCATGCCCAGGCTTCTGACCTGCAGAAACACTGAGATAATAAGTGTGTGTTGTTCTGGCTGCTAAGTTCATAGTAATTTGTTACGCAGCAGTCGCTGACTAATACAGGAGATAAGAAATAGTTTGACTTGCTAGCCATTTTTACTTTCATAAAAATGTTGTTTCTAGTTATCCTTTCATGCTATGAGAAGCATCCTTTCCAACTCCCACTGTCACAGAGGGGATCCCACATCTCAAGCTCATGGTGGTCCCCCAGCTGAACTAAATGACTGACTGTAGAAGAGGGGTGGTTCCCCAAAGGAAATACAGGGTCTCATTACCAAAAGAAAAAGGAGATAGAAAGTGAACATCAAAAAAATAGTAATTGCCCACCTGAGAGCCCTCCCCATTTAATTTGACAGGGGAAGGAACAGGTCCAGAGATGGTGAACGGCTTCCACGATCACACAACAACTTCATGGCAGGGCCAGAAGCAACACTTTTTCCTCATGCAGTCCAGGAGTCTTATCACCAGAGCACACTGTGTGACTAATGTCTTTAGATGATTTCATTTCTCTGTTATTTTAACCTATTTAGGAATATTTATTCAGTGAGAAGGCATGAAAATCAAAGTTAAATAATTGGTGAAGATAAATAAAAGTTTTTTAAAAATCCAACAGTGGAATCAAGCTTGTTATTTGGAAGAGAAATGCCTACTTGGCTGCCCTTTTAAAACATTTCCAACTGGTTTTTGCATACTTGAGACTTTGAATTACTGCCACGACCAAGAACAACAGAACAGCAAATATGAACCTGTTAAAGAAAGAAAAGAAAAGAATTGAGTTTTTGGTTTCTATTTCCCCCCTCCTCCTCTTCTTTTTCTCCTTTCACATATAAACTCTCAAGGGTCTTTTCGTATAAGAGAAATGCAGCCTTTTGCATTGAGATTATATACTCAAATGCCCCCGTTTACCTGTAAATAAATGAGTGGCTAAAGGGGCCAGTTTTGTGCTGAGCACTATGCTGGGCACAGTAGAGGTGACTCTGGGCTTGAGTCTCCTTCCTTGACCTTGTGATTTCTGTCCAGTACATCTGTGGCCCAGGAGCACCAAAGCTTCCAAGAGTAGCAGCAGCTCCTGAGTTTGGATCACAGCTGCTCAGGACCCCACAGGGGTCCTGGGACCACAGAGCAGCTGCATAGAAAGGTCCTATAAGTAGCATGTCACTGCTCAGCCCCTCAGAAGCCAGTCAGGCATTTGCCTCTTGCGTTGCATTCTGCTTTTTATTAAATTGATGCCGATTTCACCAGGCATGGTCTTAGGGATGCCCACAATTCCATGAAGGCTAAGGGGGCAGAGGAGGAGGGAGGATGCAAGTGGAGCAGAAAGTATGTATAGTGCTACATCTTAGGAATTCTGCCACCAGCTTGCTGTGTGAGTCAGAACAAGTTAACCTCTCTGAGTCTCAGCCTCTCCTGTGTAGAATAAAGATCATAAGGGCTGCTCTGCAACCTCAGCAGGTTGGGCATGTGAAAGCTGCCCGTAACATGTTTAATAAGCATTATGGGTGCCAGTTTGAGGCATTTCTGTTTCCATAACCACTTCTCACCCATGGCTGAGGCCCTGAGGGCTTAGAGGTGATCATAACTGACACGGATGCAGTGCTTACTGTGTACTACGTGCTATGCTATGCACTTTACACATGGCAACTCAGTTCATCTTCACAACTGCCTATGAGAAAAACATTATAATGATCCCCCATGTATAGATAAGGAAACTGAGTTACAGAAGGTTCAGGTACTTGTTTGGAGTAAATAGCTAGTGTGCTGGTACATCCAGAATATAGGTTCTGGCATTGGGGCTCCAATGTTTGTGTTCTTCATCAACAAATTCTGTGCCTTGCAGATAAATGCAGTATCACCCAAGAAAGGGACCAAACAGCCCAGGAAACTATCCGTCTCCCTGTCTCCCACCTCCTCTCTCCCATTCCCCATCAGCTTCCCCTGGCCCTCTAAACCTACTTCTGGTCTGTAATACCTGTATCCTGCTCCAGGTTTCTGGATCCTGGGCCCTGTGCATTGCTCCCTCTATTGAATTTGCCTCTTTGACTTCTCTTAAGCACATGTGGCTTTCTCCAAACTACTCTTAGCTCTTGCACTGCAGCCTGGCGGCTGGGAGTTCGGTTGGTTCCAGGGCTTGTCTAGCTGTGGAATTAGGAAAATTGCAGTTTTTGGTCATTTGGTAAAGAAGGCTGCTTAGGTGACCCTTCAAAACCAATATTGAAAGAGGAGACAGCAAGCACCTGACCATGCTAAGGTAGTAATGATGCTAGTCAACCATCGAGTGGAACTTACCAGGAGATTCAAAACCCTGGTGGTGAATTCCCGTTCAGGTAAGCTCCAGGAGAACAAAGAGACAGCACCAGGAAAAGAGATCACCCTTAAGTTCTTATCTGCTGTGACACAGATTTTTTAAAGGTTCTGAAAAGATCATAGTGGAGGAGGAGCTGGGGAATTGGGCATCTCCTCTCTAGCATCTGCTAAACAAGGATCTTGGGCATAAGGCCAAGCTGTGGGCTGCTTCATAGAGCCACAATGCTCTTCCTCCAAGTCAAAGTTATGCTAACACTTTTCTTTTTATCAAAAAGGTCTTTTGAGTTCATGACAATCTCTTTTCTTCAGTTTTCAATCTCAGAAAGGTTTAGTGTATTTTTGGATTACTTGTCAATGTATTTGGCAAATGAGAGTCCCTCTATTCCTTAGAGTGGTGCTTGGAAGCTCATATCTGATGTTGCAGTAGCAGTAACTACCAGTATCCAACCTATCAATATTGCACAGGACTAGTCTTCGTTGGTTGGCCACTCAAACTTTTGTCATTTTGTCATATCTAACCAATGAAACAATGGGTTGTATCTGATAAAGTGGGGCCAAAAATATACATGTGATCTGCCCTAGTAAGTAAAAGAATTACTCACTCTCCATCAAGTGATGGGGAGTCTGGGGTTTTTGAACTCCAGACTTAGCTGCCCAGGCCATCTGGTCATAGGAGCTGCCACTCCATTGAGTAGTTCTGATTGGTTGCTGATACGGCAGGCCTGGGAGCATCCCTTTCTCCTGCATGTCCATGTCAAATATCTTTATCTGCAAAGATATTCACTTGATTTAAGGGCATGACCTTCAATAGTCACTTGATTTAAGAGAAAATCCCCTTCTTAGCTCAAGAATAACCTCCAAAGACACACACAAAGATATTTATGGGAGACACACCATCTGGGATTGGCTTTAAAATTCTTCAGCAGCAATAACTACGAATAACAACAACAAGACAGGAGTGGAGTTAAATAAAAAGGAACTATGGAATGTTGACAATTGTTGAGCATGAGTAATTTTATCTATGTATTTATGTATTTTGTTAACTAAATTGAAAGGCCAAGAGGAAAACTAAAGCACCCCAAAGTAGCATCACAGGAACAGATTTCCTAGGACTGAGGGCACAGAGGGAAGGATTTGCATTATTAAAACTAGTAAATCTAGAGGAGACACCATTTTTGCTGGGATCCAGGCTTCTGAGGAAGGGGCACCTTCCTGGCAGCAAGAAAGTGCTGGGATCTCTGAAGTGCAATCTGATGATGCTGGTGCTGCCTGTGCTGGAACAACTGCAAAGTGGCCTCAGCTGCTGCTACGGAAGGACTTCCAGCTGCGAGGGTGAAGAAGCATGGCTGGAGGAAGATCGTTAAGATGAGAATCACAGGATCACAAGCAGACATGGATCCCATAGGGAGCAAGCAGAAAGGAGTGTGTTCCCTTTCCTCCTCCTCCAGCCTTCTCTCTTGAGCCCCCTGTTAGCAAAACCTAAGAGAGAGCCAGTGGCATAGCAGACATGTTTGCAGAGCCTTAGCTCGAGCATCACACAGCTGAGCATAGACAGCTGCTTATTGAGGGATAACATAATAACTGGCACAGTGGACTTACTTTGCCCCCTGAGCTTGTGCTTATCTTTTCCAGCTTAGTTCATTTATTCACTAAACCTTGAGCTAGATGTCAGGTGCTAGTCTAGATTGGAGGATATGATACTAACAAGATGGGCATAATCCCTGTCCTGGGACTTCAGTCAACCTTGACTTTTTTTTCAGTCTTTCACTTTTCTAATAGATTCCAGCCTCTGGCTCCACCCCTGCTGCTGTGCAACCCACTGTGTTGTTCTTGTCTTTTTATTATATATAAAATATACATAACATAAAGTATACATAACATAAAATGTACCATCTTAACTATTTTTAATGTACCATTCAGTGGCGTTAAGGACATTCACGTTGTTGTAAAACTGTCTTCATCATCCATCTCCAGAACTCTTTTTCATCTTGAAAAAATGAAACTCAGTAATGATTAAACTCTCACTCCCCACTTCCTCCTCCCTCCAGCCTCTGGCAACCAGCATTCTACTTTCTGTCTCTATGCATTTGAGTACTCCAGGGACCTCATATAAGTGGAGGCATACAGCATTTGTCCTGTTATGACTGGCATATTTCACTTTGCATATTGTCCTCAAGGTTCATCCATGTCATAGCGTGTGTCAGAACTTCCTTTCTAAGGCTGAATAATATTCCATTGTATATTTCACATTTTGCTGATCCATTCACTCGTTGACACGTGTTTGGTTTGTTTGCACCTTTTGGCTACTGTGAATAATGCTGTTATGAACATTGATGTATAAGTATGTGTACAAGTCCGTGCTTTCAGCTCTTTTGGGTATATGCCTATGAGTAAAACTGGTTGTTCATATGGTAATTCTATGTTTAACTTTTTGAGAAACCACTCCATGTGTTCACAGCAACCATACCGTTTTACATTCCCACCAGCAACTGGTATCTATGAGGGTTCCGATTTCTCCACATCCATGCCAACATTTGTTATTTTTCTTCTTTAATAACAGCCACAGGTGTGAAGTGGCCCACTGTGGGCTCTGGCATAAATTTAGCCTGAACACATCAAGTTTCTGCACAGTGTCCTTATTGAGACAGTGCCTCAGTTGTCACCCTTGTAGCCTTTTTTCAGCCCAGGCTTTCTCTCCTTTTCCAAACCAGTTTGTTTTTATTGGCTTTTGGAAGTTTCACCAGTTCTCAGAGAGAAGGTTTGTATTCTTTTGATAGAATGAGCTTAATGAAATGTCATAAGATCAGAGATGCAGAAAGAAACCAAGAAAGAGCTTTTTACTTTGATGTGTAGGAGTGTGAACACTGATGGGGCAGGAGCCCTTTCCAGTCTCATCTGGAGGCACAGCAGCAGGGGTGGCCTGGGCCCCAGTAGCAACTGCAGCATTGGCTACCAGTGGGCCAGTTGGGTACCAACCTGAATGTCCAATAACTGGACAAACATACTATGACCATAGAGTGTAATTTCATGCTAGCATTAAATATGCTTCAAAAACATATTTAATGACACAGGAAAGGCATATGACTTAACTTAGGTGCAAAAACCTGAATACAAAGCAGTAATGATGTTCAATATTATAAACATGCCCTTTAAAAGACTAAGAAAAAGTACATCAAAGTGTTAGCACTTATCTATGATATAGGTCACTTTTAAGTCTCTATTTTCCTGTTCCCAGATGATTTATGATAAGCATTTCACATATTTTAATCAGAAAACAAGAAAAACATTTTTAAGCAAACACACCAGTGGCTGTAGTGGGTGCACTAAACTGGCTGCTAGCCAGGGAAAGCACGTGGAACCGCCTGGAACTCTGCCAGGGAAAATCCAGAACGGGGATGGTGGCCGAGAGGATTCAGCTATTTTTATAACTGCTGCCACCGTTACCTGAGCCCTCGCTTCCCTCTCCAGCCTGGTGTGGTGTAGACAAGCAAGGGTGACAAAGAGTTTACAGCAAACATACAACCGCAAGCTCATTGCCACCTCGTAATAGAAAGAACCCCAGAATTAGGGAAAGCACCATTAGCTACTGAGATGTTTACTGATGAAAGACTCTCCTCTTTTTCCTCCATAGCAGTTATATAAATGAGCCAGACGTGGCCTCGTGTGTTGGCCTACAATGTTGTTTAGGCCTTCACAGCAGGCTAGACCACTAGCTCAAAGCCCACTGGCACCAAACTCAAATTCTTCCACATTGATTGCTTTAAATATAGTCCAGAGAAATCTATTTTTGGCAATTTGGAGCCTACCTACTTTACATAGCCCACAAAACTGTGCCCAACATCTGCTAAGCCACAGGTAAGATGAACCTTGTTCCTATGAACTACGCTGTATTAGTCTTTATATTAACATAATGTCATATATGTACATACATGATAGAATGTATATACAGTCATGTGTCACTTAACTACAGGGCTATGTCATTAGGCGATTTTGTCATTATGCAAACATCAGAGTGAAGGGTATTTTAAAAGTTATTTAAGTGGTACACCTGTACAGGGCACTTACCACGAATGAAGCCTGCAGGACTAGAAGTTGCTCTGATGTCAGTGAGTGAGTGGTGAGTGAATGTGAAGGCCTAGGACTGTACCGCACACTATGATAGACTTTATGAGCACTGTACACTTAGGGAACACTACATTTATTTCTTCAATAATAAATTAACCTTACTTTACTGTAACTTATTCACTTAATAAACTTTTTAATTTTTTTGTAACTTTTTGGCTCTCCTGTAATAATATTCAGCTTAAAACACAAACATACTGTACAGCTATACAAAATACTTTCTTTATATCCCTATTCTATAAGCTTTTTTCTATTAAAATTTTTTTTTCACTTTTTATTAAAGACTAAGACACAGACACACACATTAGCCTAGGCCCATGTAGGTTCAGGATCATCCATATCACTGTCTTCCAACTCCACATCTTGTCCCACTGGGAGGTCCTCAGGGGCAATAACATACATGGAGCTGTCGTCTCCTATGGTCACAATGCCTTCTTCTGGATGCCTCCTGAAGGGCCTGCCTGAGGCTGTGTTATAGTTAATTTTTTAATAAATAGGTGCACACTCTAAAATAACAATAAAAAGTATAGTATGGTAAATACATAAACCAGTAACATAGTTGCTTATTATCATTATCAAGTATTGTGTACTCTACATAACTGTATATGCTATACTATTATATGATTGCAGCTCAGTAGGCTTGTACACACAAGCAGCACCACAAACACATGAATCAAGTGTTGCATTACAACATTACAGAAGCAATGATGTCACCAAGCAATAGCGATTTTTCAGCTCCATTATAATCTTAAGAAATCACCATCATATATGAGGTCCATCATTGACCAAAATGTCATTATGCAGTGGATAACTGCACATATTCTAATATATTATATACACAGGTATCTATACATATATACACACACTATATATATTCTGTATGTGTACTCACACAATATATGTTATATAACATATATTTATATATATTTATATATGTTATATATATAATATTTATATATGTTATATATATAATATTTATATATGTTATATATATATAATATTTATATATGTTATATATATAATATTTATATATGTTATATATATAATATTTATATATGTTATATATATAATATTTATATATGTTATATATATAATATTTATATATGTTATATATATAATATTTATATGTTATATATAATATATAATATTTATATGTTATATATAATATATAATATTTATATGTTATATATAATATATAATATTTATATGTTATATATAATATATAATATTTATAAGTTATATATAATATATAATATTTATATATGTTATATATAATATATAATATTTATATATGTTATATAATATATAATATTTATATATGTTATATAATATATATTTATATATGTTACATATAATATATTTTATATATGTTACATATAATATATATTTATATATGTTACATATAATATATATTTATATATGTTACATATAATATATATTTATATATGTTACATATAATATATATTTATATATGTTACATATAATATATATTTATATATGTTACATATAATATATATTTATATATGTTACATATAATATATATTTATATATGTTACATATAATATATATTTATATATGTTACATATAATATATATTTATATATGTTATATATAATATATATTTATATATGTTATATATAATATATATTTATATATGTTATATATAATATATATTTATATATGTTATATATAATATATATTTATATATGTTATATATAATATATATTTATATATGTTATATATAATAATATAACATACAACATATATAAATATATGTTATAATTTATATTATAAATTATATAACATATATAACACATATAAATATATTTTTTTTAAGAGACAGAGTCTCGCTCTGTCACCCAGGCTAGTGTGCAGTGGCATGATCTTGGCTCACTGCAACCTCCACCTCCTGGGTTCAAGCAATTCTCCTGCCTCAGCCTCCCGAGTAGCTGGGATTACAGATACACACCACCACACCTGGCTAATTTTTGTATTTTTAGTAGAGATGGCATTTCACCATGTTGGCCAGGCTGGTCTTGAACTCCTGACCTCAAATGATCCACCCACCTCGGCCTCCCAAAGTGCTGGGATTACAGGCATGAGCCACCATGCCCAGCAAATGTGTTCTCTCTCTATGTATATACACACACACAGAGGGAGAGAGATTTATAAGGAATTGCCTCATGCAATTACAGAGGATGAGAGGTCCCAGGACCTGTAGTTGGCAAGCTGGAGATCCAGGAGAGCCCATGGTGTAAGTTTCAGTCCAGGTCTAAAGGCAAGAGAAGACCCCTGTCCTGGCGCAAAGATGGTCAGGCCGAGCCAGTGAATTCTCCCTTACTCAGCCTTTTTTGTTCTGCTCAGACCTCCAGCAGATTGGATGAGATCCATCCACGCTGGGGAAGGCAGTTTGCTTGACTTGGTCTTACAATTCAAATATTGATCTCATCCAGAAATGCCTTCACAGATAAAACAGAATAACATTTAACCACATTTCTGAGCATATCAATACCTAGTCAAGCTGATGTGAAATTAACCATCACAGATCTCAAACTACTTTGGCCCTTTGGAAGTCTCTGACCCAGACATTCCCCACCTTGTTGCTGAGTGACGTCACCTAGACACATAAGGCCCTTCTTTGACTCTCTCTGGCCCTGGAGTTCCCTTGCCCTCTTCTCCTTCTGGGAGGGTCTCCTGCTGCGAGGGAGCCCCCTCTTCTCAGGCAGCCCCACTCAAGCATCACCCAGTAAAGCTTATTGTACAGGGCTGCCTCTTCCTGATTTGCCTTGAAACCTTCAAGCTGACCACAGCAGTCCTCATTGTATCATTAAAGAACTTTCTTTTGACCCTTTCTGTTCCTGTCCAAACTCTTGGGGAAAAAATGATCACTTTCAAATCACCATGTCCTCTGCATCAAATCTCTCCCCAAGGGGCTGGGCGCAGTGGCTCACATGCCCAGAACTGTGGGAGGCTGAGGTGAGTGGATCACTTGAGGTCAGGAGTTTGACACTAGCCTGGCCAACAGAGCAAAACTTCATCTCTACTAAAAATACTAAAATTAGCCAGGCACAGTGGCAGGCGCCTGTAGTCCCAGCTACTTGGGAGGCTGAGGCATGAGAATCACTTGAACCCAGGAGGCAGAGGTTGCAGTGAGCCAAGATCGCACCACTGCACTCCAGCCTGGGCAACAGAGCAAGACTCTGTCTCAAAAAAAAAAAAAAAAAAAAAAAAAAAAATCTGTCTCCAAGCTCATTGCATTTCTTTTCCCTAGCTCAGGAATTCTGGTAGAGGGTGCACTAGGAAAGGAGAAGCAGGCTGGGTGAATTAAGTATCCTTTCTTCCACTGAAGCTTCTCTCAATCAACTTGGCAAAGTCAGAGCTTAAAACGCAAACTACTTTGAGAACTTTAGTGGTTCCCAAGTACTGAAAAGATTATGACACCCACTATGAACTTCAAATGAGAACAATATCAAACCGTACAACTCAAAACTTATATGTATGCTGAAAGTAAAAATAATTTCTAGATCCTTCTGGATGCAAAATGCTAAATGAGTTTATTGAAAATGAATGTTTTGTTGAAATTTTTCTTATTCTGCTTTGTTTTTGAGCCCCTGACTTGCTGGCTTGCCTAGCACAAAGCAGTCCTGTATGGCTAACACTCCAGCGTGGTAAGAAATCAAAGATCTCTGAACCAGGATCGCATAATTTATGATTAGCATGGTGCATGGCATGCAGGAGGTGATCAATAAATGTTTGCACTAATTTGGAGAATAAAGTAGAGAATTATAATGACCACTTTAAAGCCACACACTGTGGAGAACTGCATTTTTCTTCCAGCTGACCTTAAGCCACTGAAATAATGTGTTATGGAAAGTACTGTACTATATTTATTGTTGTTTCTTTTTAAAAAAAGAATATAAAGCTCCAGTTTCAATAAAGCCTGTAAAAAATGTCAAAAGGGAAAACAGTTCCTTCTTAACCAAACATTCAAGATTTCTAAATTTAAATAGTGAGGTTTTTTTTTCCCCTCAGATCTCTTTTTGGTAGATGGAGGCTGCACTATTATATAACCCTTTCTGTTGCCAAAATACAATGTAAATTAACCAAAAGGTTAAAACTGTACCTTTAAAAATATCTTAAACATTTGTTTGAATCATGGAAAGAAAGGGTGGAAGGCAACTGACCTCTGATCTTTCATTTGCCTTATTATTTGGTAATTAACAAATATATTTAGAAATGTTCTTTCTGTCACAAAAATATTGGAAATAATGTTCCTCATAAAAAGATGTCAGACAGAACTTGTAAAATGCTATTTATAGCCTTTTCAGCAGAAAACTAAAGAATAATTGATTTGGCTTATTAAGTTCTGCCTATCTCTGGAAGCCAACAAAACTCCAAACTCCCAAGTTCTTAAATGTCAGAACCCTGTGATTAAATGTCTTGATATCTACAATCTGTCTGAGGCTATTATCTGTGGAAATGTATTTGCTTCTGCCAAATATACTATTCCCTAAAACACAGGGTGGTTGGGATTTTCTCTTGGTTAAAAGTTATCTAACATTAAAATGAGCACCTATTTGCAACTTCCGGAGAGATGTACCCCAGCAGGGGAGTGCAAATCAGAGAGAGACAACATCTTCCAAAGTGCAGATCAGCCTCAAGTTAGCTCAGTTCGTGATTAGATTAAGATGATCAAACTCACTCTATCTTCCTAACCAAAGCTTGCAGCACACACCTCTGGAAGAAGATAATAATATCACCCATAACTGCAGCATTCTTAACTAGGGTTCCTGATATGGTTTGGCTCTGTGTCCCCACCCAAATCTCATCTTGTAGCTCTGATAATTCCCACATGTTGTAGGAGGGACCTGGTGGGAAATGACTGAATCACGGGGTGGGGTCTTTCCTGTGCTGTTCTAATGATATTGAATGGGTCTCATGAGATCTGACAGTTTTAGAAATGCCAGTTTCTCTGCACAAGCTCTTTCTTTGCCTGCTGCCATCCATGTAAGATGTGACTTGCTCCTCCTTGTCTTCTGCCATGATTGTGAGGCTTCCCCAGCCACGTGGAACAGTAAGTCTAATTGAACCCCTCTCTTTTGTAAATTGCCCAGTCTTGGGTATGTCTTTATCAGCAGCATGAAAACAGACTAATACAGTTACATTTTCATATAATTGGTTTCTTTGTAATCTCATAGATTTTATTTTCTGCATTTAAAAATATTCTTCAAGAAGTAGTCCTTAGGCTTCTCTAGATTGACAAAGCATTCCTGAGACACATTTATTATATGCAGTGTCCAGAATTCAACCAAAAGTTTCCAGGCACATACACAAAAAATAGAACCAAAAATAAAATCAATTTCATTTCTACATACTAGCAACAGGAAATATAATTATAGCAACCCCCCACCATCTACAATAGCAACAAAAACTAGAGGGTGCCTAGAAATAAATCTAATAAAATATGTGCAAGACCATTACTCAGAAAATTATTAAAACTATTAAAAGTTGTTTTAAAAGAACTATAAATGGAAAAATATTTCATATTCACATGTAAAAAAATACTTATCATAAGGCCACAATTGTGCTCCAAAACTGATCTATACATTCTATATAATTCCAGAACAAAATCTCAACAGTATTTTCATGTAACCTGAAGAGATATTCCAAAATCTATATGGGATGTTTTTTAAAATAAGTTTGTTCCGAAGAAAACGCTGAGACAGAGATACATGTGAAAGTAATTTATTAGGAAGTACTCCCAGAAAAAACTGGTAGTGCAATGGAGAATGCAAATGAATCCAAAAGAATTTGGGGAGAGCCCTGGCAACAGTTGCTCTATTATCCTAAACAAAATGAACAGCAGAGGGAATTGCCCTCCAGATATCAAGATTTATATAAGGCTATGGCAATTACAGCATTATGGACTTGCTAGAGAAATTTTTTAACATTGACCAGGGGAAAAAAGTCAGAGTGCTGGCAGAGCCATGCTCATTCTGAAAGCACTAGAGAAGAATCCTTCCTTGTCTCTTCCCAGCTCCTGGAGGTTGCTGGCAATCTTTGGTGTTTGCTGGCTTGTAGATGCCTCACTCCAACTTATCCTTCTTGTGTTAGTTACTTTTCACAAGACTGGGCAATGTACAAAAGAAAGAGGTTTATTGGACTTACAGTTCCAATAAACCTGGGGAGGCCTCACAATCATGGTGAAGGTGAAAGGCACGTCTTATATGGCAGAAGACAAGAGAAGAGAGCTTGCGCAAGGAAACTCCCCTCTTTAAAACCATCAGATATCATAAGACTGATTCACTATCAAGAGAACAGTGCAGGAAAGATCCATCCCCATAATTAAATCACCTTTCACTGGGTTCCTCCCATGACATGTGGGAATCATGGGAGTTACAATTCAAGATGATATTTGGGTGGGGACAGAGCTAAACCATATCATTCCACCCCTGGCCCCTGCCAAATCTCATGTTCTCACATTTAAAAACCAATCATGCCTTCCTAACAGTCCCCCAAATTCTTTACTGATTTCAGCATTAACTCAAAAGTTCACAGTCCAATGTCTCATCTCAGACAAGGCAATCCCTTCCACCTATGAGACTGTAAAATCAAAAGCAAGCTAGTTACTTCCTAGACACAATGGGGGTACAGACATTGGATATATACCGCCATTCCAAATGGGAGAAATTGGCCAAAACAAAGGGGCTACAGGCCCCATGCAAGTCCAAAATCCAGCAGGGCATATTGAATCTTAAAGCTCCAAAATTATCTTCTTTGACTCCATGTCTCACATCGGGGCCATGCTGATGCAAAAGGTGGGCTCCCATTGTCTTGGGCAGCTCTGCCCTTGTGGCTCTGCTGGGTACAGCCTCCCTCCCAGCTGTTTTCACAGGCTGGTGTTGAGTGTCTGCAGCTTTTCCAGGCACATGGTGCAAGCTGTCAGTGGATCTACCATTCCAGGGTCTGGAGGACAGTGGCCTTCCTCTCACAGCTCCACTAGGTGGTACTCTGTGGGGGGCTCCAACCAACATTTCCCTTCTGCACCA
Organism: Homo sapiens; assembly: GCF_000001405.40. Taxonomy (NCBI): domain Eukaryota; kingdom Metazoa; phylum Chordata; class Mammalia; order Primates; family Hominidae; genus Homo; species Homo sapiens. The sequence goes on along the minus strand of NC_000006.12, from coordinate 159,922,293 downwards.
CCCTTGCAGAGATTCTCCATGAGAGCCCTGCCCCTGCAGCAAACTTCTGCCTGGGCATCCAGGTGTTTCTATACATCTTCTGAAATCTAGGCAGAGGTTCCCAAACCCCAATTCTTGACTCCTGTGCACTCACAGGCTCAACACCACATGGAAGCTGCCAAGGCTTGGGGCTTGCACCCTCTGAAGCCATGTCCCAAGCTCTATGTTGGCCCCTTTCAACCATGGCTATAGCAACTGAGATGCAGGGCACCAAATCCCTAGGCTGCAAACAGCAAGGGGACCCTGGCCCCAGCCCACGAAACCACTTTTTCCTCCTAAAACTCCAGGCCTGTGATGGGAGGGGCTGCTGTGAAGAACTCTGACATACCCTCGAAACATTTTCCCCACTGTCTTGAGGATTAACATTCATCTCCTTGATACTTATGCAAATTTCTGCAGCCGGCTTGAATTTCACCTCAGAAAATAGTATTTTCTTTTCTATCTCATTGTCAGGCTGCAAATTTCCCAAACTTTTATGCTCTATTTCCCTTTTAAAACTGAATGCCTTTAACAGCACCCAAGTTACCTCTTGAATGCTTTGCTGCTTAGAAATTTCTTCTACCAGACACCCTAAAACATCTCTCTCAAGTTCAAAGTTCCACAAATCTCTAGGGCAAGGCAAAGTGCCATTAGTGTCTTTGCTAAAACATAACAAGAGTCACCTTTGCTCCAGTTCCCAAGAAGCTCCTCATCTCTATCTGAGACCACCTCATTCTGGACCTTATTGTTCCTATCACCATCAGCATTTTTGTCAAAGCCATTCAACAAGTCTCTAGGAAGTTCCAAACTTTTCCACATCTTCCTATCTTCTTCTGAGCCCTCCAAACTGTTCCAAACTCTGCCTGTTACCCAGTTCCAAAGTCGCTTCCACATTTTTGGTTATCTTTTCAGCAATGCCCCACTCTACTGGTACCAATTTTGTCCATTTTCACGCTGCTGTTAAAGACATACCTGAGACTGAGCAATCTACAAAAGAAAGAGTTTTCTTCCCACAACATGTGGGAATTGTGGGAGTTACAATTCAAGATGATATTTGGGTGGGGACACATCCAAACCATATCACTTCTGTCTTCACATGGTTCTCTTATAAGGATATATGTCATTGTATTTAGGGTCAATCCTAATCCAGTATAACATCAATATAATTTAACTAATTACAGCTATAAAACCCTATTTCCAAATCAGGTCACATTCTGAGGTCCAGGTGGACAGGAATTTTGGGGGAGGCAGGGACTCTATTCAACTCAGTATACCATATGGCTAAGAGTCATAAAAGATGCTCAACCACTTTTGTAATCTGGTAAATGTAAATTAAGCCCACAACGTTATACCATTTTACACCCTGCAGATTGGCCAACATTGAGAAGTACAGAGAGAATGTGAAGGAAGTAGACTCATATATCGTGGATGGGAGTGTAAATTGGTTCACTTGATCTGACCGGCCCACCTTGAAAGCACTTCGGTATTGTTTTATAAATCTGACCTAGTAATCTTACTCCTAGGTATACACCCAAGAGAAATTCTTGCGGAAGTGTACAAGGAGACATATATAGAAAAGTTGTTTAAATAGCAATATGTCCACATTTCAAAAAATACCTGGAAACAGTCCACTGACAAGAGGATAAATAAAATCTAGTATATTTACTCAGTGGAATATATTTTAGCAGTCAAAATAAATGAACTACACTACACACAAAGACATTGAACCACTCTGCATAATGCTGAGTGGAAAAAACAATACAAAGAAAACTACATAGAATAGGATATGATTTTTATAGACTTCAAAAACACAAAAACTATGTATTATGTAGCACACAGGTATGACAAAATGTTAATTGCAAGAGAGTGATAAAGAGAAAAAGTTAGGGTAGCAGTTGATGCAGACATAAGTAGATTAAACATGGACATCATAGCTGCCTTGATGGAATTTTCAAAAGCAAAATCTGAATGTGGTACACAGGAAGGCAAAAAGGTAAATCATTTATTTGTTTATATATATATATATATATATATATATATATATATAACCTCTCCGGAGACTTGCTGCTGAGAACAAAGGGTAGGGGGACCTGGGCTGCATCATTCTGGAAAAGGAAGGGCTCCAAACTGCGGAGGGAGGTAGGGTGCATAACGACATTTTGTTTATTTTAAAACATTTAAGCTCCTTGGTGAAAGAAGCTGTATTAGGTTGTTGTAAAAGCAGTCGCGAGTTTTTGCATTTACTTTCAATGGCAAAAACCGCAATAACTTTTGCACCAACCTATAGATGCCTGCTAATTATTACATAATGCATCTTTTATTCATAACTGTGTGTACTGTTAATCCTTATCTTCATCAAATCGGTTTCATTCTTCTTGGTTCCTTATTTTGCCATGCCCTTGGCCTTGTGCATTATCATCTAATTTATCTCCTATTCTCCCCAAGACACTTTAGAACTGCCCTTCATGCTTCCACCCCCATCTTCTTATGTCTTCCCTCTGTACCCTCCCACTTCCAGGCTCTGCTCTGGAACATTTATGCTGTTTGTGGCCCTCAGGGCACAGGACCACGGGATCCTTTTTCAGTAGGAACAACCACCAGGTGAGATGGACCTGTGAGGTGGGAATTTCCAGATACTCCCTGGAATCCATACCCAAGTCCCTGCACAGTGTTCTCCACTCTCTCGGTTCTTTTCTTGTTTGCAAGCAGTGTTGGTGCAGCTGAATGCAGAACCTTCCATTAAAACCTGAAAAGAGAACATTGGAGCAGCCCCAGTTCCATTTCCTCCATGAAGTGTAAGCGTAACATGCCACACTGCAGCAGCTGGGCTGGAGGAGGAAGGCAGGCGAACAAGTGAAGAGCCAGAACGCCAAGACTCGTTTCCCAACAGTGCAACTCCACACTACTTATCTCTCTGAAAGATCTGAAGCTTGAAGGAACATCTTAATCTCTCCCCAGTGATTCCTCATAGCATCTACATGACATGTCAATTTCTCAACTT